>NC_000014.9:70066258-70217773 GCF_000001405.40 Homo sapiens
CACTGGAGAAAGTCCTTACTTCTGCTCAAGTCACAAATGAGGCTTTAAGTTTAATACAAGTCACCAGCCAGATCTTGAGTTTTCTTTCCAAACTTGTTCTTTCCCATTTCTGTCAATGGCACCATCATCTAACAAATTGCCCAGTTTTCCTAAACCTGGAATCACCCCTCATTCTTTCCTCACTCTCAGGCCTCCCTCTCTTCCCCAGCACAGTTAATTTACTACCCCCCTTCCTTCTGCCTTTAAGACCCAGATCAAAACACCATCATTTGGCCAGCGCGGTGCCTCACACCTGTAATCCCAGTGCTTTGGAAGGCCGAGGCGGGTGGATCGCTTGAGGTCAGGAGCTCAAGACCAGCCTGACCAACATGGGGAAACTCTGTCTCTACTAAAAATACAAAAATTAGCCAGCCATGGTGGTGCATGCCTGTAATCCCAGCTACTTGGGAGACTGAGGCAGGAGAATTGCTTGAACCCAAGAGGCGGAGGTTGCAGTGAGCCGAGATTGTGCCATTGCACTCCAGCCTGGGCGACAGAGTGAGACTCCTTCTCAAAGCAAAACAAAACAAACAACAACAACAACAAAACACCATCACCTCTCCCTTGGGCTTTGCAGTAGCCTCCTAAGAGATTTTCCTGTTCCTGCCTTTGCCCTCTTTCTTCAATCCCTTCCCCACATTATAGCCAGGGTTAACTATTAAAAATGCAGCCCAGGTCCTATCATGCATCCTGTAATTGTAGTACACACAGAGCCCTTACCATGGCCTATGGGAGCTTGCATGATCCAGTCGCTGCTGACCCCTCAGACCTCGTTCATAACGTCCTCCCCTTGCTTATGTGTCCTAGACACACTGGTCTTCCCAGTCCTCAAATCAAGCCCTTTCCCACCTAAGGGCAATCCCCTTGCTATCCCCTCTGCCTGGGACGCTCTTCACCGGGGTCTGTGCTTATCCTGATCGTTTGCGTCTCTGAGTAAACTTATCACCTCTTCGGAGAGGCCTTCCATGGCTACCTTATCTAGAGGACTCCTGGCTCCACCACTTTCAGTCACTCAACACAGCCTGAAGTTAGTTAGTTAGTTACTGGATGTAAGCTCTGCAAGTACAGAGAACTTGTCTTTTTTCAAAAGCTTGCAGCATCCAGTATCTCCAGGCAGTCTCCAATTCAAGGACTAACCAGACCCCACCCTGCTTACTTCCAAGATCAAGCAAGTTCTTGTCTATCTGACTTGCTACAGTAGTCCCAGTGCCCAGCACAGTGCCTGGCATACAGAACGCCCTCAAACATAACTTGCTGAGTGACTCATGGTGAATTTCTAACACACTTGAGACTTCGTAAAATGAATCCACTCATCTTTTTGCAGCAAAAATATGTCATTAGAGACAAAAATATTTTGAAGGCTACTTTCATGGAATGCCCGAGGATTTTCAGTGGGACAAAGAAGCTGCAGACCCAGTATCATCAAACCTAGATCCCCAGTTTACTTAACATACCACATTTGTCTACTCCAAGGAAGCTCTCTCCAACAGCAACCCAGGGTATAACTTACTGGTTCAAGTGAGGGTTTTCAGATTTTTTTGGGCCCCCCATTTCCAGTTCTTCTTCCCGCACAGTGGCAGTTACTTAATGGTCATGGGGACAGATTATCCTGAGCAGCTACTCCTAGAGCCAGTAATGCTGTCAGAGGCTCCAGGACCTGCACCTGCCTTTCCTCCAAGCTTTCTGCCAAGGGAGGTGCCAATGCACACAGCGTTCCCAGAACAGACCTGGCTGAGCTGCTGCGGAAACCTGCTCCCAGGAGATCTTCTATCAAACAACCTGGAGACGATTAGGAAATACATGTCTGGGCTGCCTGGCTGGCCTTTTGAAATAGTCCTTTGCATCGAGGACATTCAAATCAGGCCTCTGATCCTCAGGGTGCTGCAAAGGGGAAGGGTTCTCTTTAGCCATTGAGTTCCTTTAGAGTGAAAGTGGGAGTAAGCAGCATTTATTAGTTGAACAGATGATTAATACATTGGAGGAGGCCTTCTTTATACAGGAAGGAAGAATTCTAAGATAATATATATGCTTACATTGTGCTCACCACCATGAGAACCATAAGAAGAACTTTCTTGTTTCATTCTTCTTATTTATTTATTGAGACAGGGTCTCACTCTGTCACCCAGGCCGGAGTGCAGTGGTGTGATCATGACTCACTGCAGCCTCAACTCCTGTGCTCAGGCCGTCCTCCTGCCTCAGCCTCTTGAGTAGCTGGGGCCACGGGTGCATGCCACCATGCCCAGCTAATTTTTAAAAAATTATTATTGGTAGAGATGGGACCTCACTAAGTTGCCCAGGCTGATCTTGAACTCCTGGGCTCAAGTGATCCTCTCACCTTGACCTCCCAAAGTGCTGGGATTACAGGCATAAGTCACCATGTCAGGCCTCTTATTTCATTCTTATTTCTGCTTTATTAACATAGATATTATTATTTTATTTATTTATTTTTGAGACACAGTCTCACTCTGTCTCCAGGCTAGATTGCAGTGGCACAATCTGGCTCACCACAGCCTCAACCTCCCGGGCTCATATAATCTTCCCACCTCAGCCTACCGAGTAGCTAAGACTACAGGCACCTGCCACCATGCCTGGCTAATTTTTGTATTTTTTCTAGAGACGAGGTGTCACCATGCTGGTCTCAAACTCTTGGGCTCAAGCAATCCACTGGCCTCGGCCTTCCAAGGTGCTGGGATTATAGGTGTGAGCCACTGGGCCTGGTCAATTATGATTACTTCCATTTTAAAGATGAGAAAACAGATGCTCAAAGAGGTTAAGTAACTTGCTCAGTCGCACAGCTATTAAGCAGCTGAGCTAGGATTTTAGCCTATGTCCCCCTATTACACCTATAGCTTATTTCTTATGCAGGTGGGTAAGCTCTGGATGTCATTCCCAAGCTGCAGCCACAGTGAGGAGGCACAGAATTTCCACACTGAAATCCCAGCAGCACAGGCAGGTAATAAGTGGATCTGCCTCTGTATTGTATTGTGAGTAGGTGGCCTCCTAACCCTTCGGCCCTCCCATGCCAGAAATAATCTCTGAGTACAGGCTGGGCTTCTGACTCTGTGACCTCTTCCTGTCTCATTCCTACTGAATGACTCTTTACCCTGTCAAGAAGCGTTCCCTTTCATCACTTCTGAATGTATCCTTGCTGCTCCGGGTCAGCTAACACTCACAGAGCTTCCTTGACCTGGGGCAGCTGGACCGAGCAGGTGGAGGAGCTGCGAACCTTTCCATGGGAGCTTTCAGAAGCCTCACATCTCTTAGCTGGGTTCTTCTTGTAGTTTCCTTTATTTTTCCGGTTGGGTGTCACTGCCCCATCTCTTCCCCTGCCAGGTTTCTGGCTCTTTGAACGTGGACTGAACCCCCCACCGCCACCTGTCACCAACAACCCAACACTGATATTTCCCTGACCCCTCTCCCAAGGTCTGAGGGGAAGGCCCCTGTTCCATGAGAAGGCTTAGGGTCTCTAATTGGCGTTCTCTTTAAAATAAGTGTGTCATCTCGTCCCTGAAAGCGGTGCTTCTCAAACTTTAATGTGCACATGAATCACCCAAGCATCTTGTTAATGTGTGGATTCTGATTCAGTAGATCTGGGGTGGGGCCTGAGAGCCTGCCTTTTTAACAAGGCCCCAGCGTGTGTGGATGCTACTGGTCCATGGCCAAAAGATCCCCTGGAGAAGTCGCTCTGACTCTATTAAAGACCCAGGGAAAGAGGAGAAGCGGCTTGAATGCTAGTGCCAGTCAAGGATGGGGGGCTGGAGTCAAAGTCTAGCGTTTCAGTCAAATGCTGGACTAATTAGGTCAATTCTGACACTATATCTTGAGAGGGACTTTGGAGTACATCCAGAGTAGGGTGACTAGGATGATGAGAGATCTAGAAACCACATTTCAAATTAACTTACCAATAGTTACATAGTGCTTATTTTGTGCTAGGCAGAGCTCTAAGCATTTTGCTTATATTAAGTAATTTAATCCTCACAACTAACCTGTTAGATAGGTAGAGGCCAGACCAGGTGCTATTTTCTCTGCACACATTATCTCATTTAATATTCATAATAACCTATGAGGTAGGTGCTATTTTTATCCCCATTCCCACACATGAAGAACCAGAGGACCAGAAAAGTTAAGAGACTTGCCTAAGGTTATAACTAAATAAGTGGCAGAGCTGGGAATTGAATTCAAACAGTGTGGCTCTAAAGATTTTGCATCTAACTATTGATTTGTGGATCCAGAGGAGAGATGTCTCCTGGAGGAAATGCTACTTACTCCAAATGGTTCTGGGGCTGTCACAAGTGCTGCTTCCAAAGGAAGTTGGTGGGAAGTTCCAGGGAGGTGGGTTTCAACTCTACCACATACCATTCCATCAGGGAGATGAACTAGCTTATAAGAGAGTGATCACCCCATTCCTGGTATTAAAAAATAGGATGATGTCCATGCATAAAAAAGGCCATGGAGAGGATTCCTGCATGCTACAGGAGGTCAAGTAATGACCCCTAAAGGACTACAGCCAGTGGTGAGCTAATAAACCAGCTTCCCAGGAATAAAGAGAAACCCTGATTTGGAACGGTTGCTTTCCATGGTGAAAATACTCTCACTATAGTCAATTTCAGGCTACTAATAGTTTAACAACCAATGTCCACAATTACTAAACATTTAACAGTCAGCTCTTGTGAGATGGTAGGAGTCTGCTCTGGTATACCACTGACAGTGTCAGATTCTCCCAATGTGTTTGAGAAAGATTGTGGTGGGAAAGAATAGTTCTGATTGATTTACAGCCTATTTTGCCACATGCTAGTGTTTGCTCAAAGTGGGTGTCTGATGAAGTTAGGTATAAATGTGCTTATTCAAAAAGGCCTTTGGGAAAAAAAGGCTTCAAGATTTGGTTTTTAAAAGGATTATGGGTGAGTGGGGAGGCAGAGTTTCTAAAATGTTCCCCCAAAGATGTTCTGCCCCAATCCTTGGAACCTGTAAATGTGCTGTTATCACTCCTGAAATGTTATACGGTATCACAGTTACCTTTAAAATAGGGACATTATCCAGGTGGGCCTGATTGAATCGCATGAACGCTTAAAAGCAAAGAACTTTCTCTGGCTAAAGAAGAAGGGAAAGCCAGAAAGATACGAGCCACAAGAAAGATTCTACATGCTGCTTTGGTTTGAAGATGAACGGTGTCTTGTGAATAGGAACATAGGCAGCCTGTAGGTGCAAAGAGTGGTCCCTGGATGACAGCCAGCAAGGAAACGGGGACCTCCAACCTCAAGCCACAAGAGACGGGATTCTGCTGATGGCCTGAATAAGGTTGGAAGCGTATATGTCCTCAGAGCCTCCAGATAAGATCCCAGCCTGGCCAACACCTTGATTTCAGTCTCACGAGAACTTGGACAGAGAACCCAGTCAAGCCTGCCTGGACTTCTGAGATACAGAACTTGCGAGATAATAAATGGGTATTGCTTTAAGCCTCTACGTTTCTGACAATTTGCTACACAGCAACAGACAACTAATATGGAAGGCTTATTTATTTTATGGAGGCAGGAACCTGAGCTAAATGATCTCTTGGAACTACCCTACACCATCTATTTTGTGAACAAAAAGAGTGTTTCGGGGTGCGTGTGAGAACGTGCACAGACTCCCCTTTTGCTTTGGTATCTATTCTGGACCCTCCTTTGAGCCCTCTGCTGCATGCAGCTTCTACATACCTGTGACTAGCTGGACTCATCAGAGATAACCTACTGAGGATGTGGCTTCCCCTAGGGAAAGTGTAGGAACATTTTGTCTCTACTGACAGTAAAGAGCTGACTGCTGGACATGTTTATGGATGTAGACCCATTTGAGGACTTGATGCTCATTCTGTTAATTCTGAAATGTCTGGGTTTATAACTGGGCATCACAGCCCATGGGTACTCCTCTGCTTTCCTAATTACCCACTTTCCCAGTGCCTGGAGAGCGTGTTACCTGTGGCTAGAGGGAAAGGGACATCTGAGGTAACTGCATGATTATGGACCTAGGGTTCAGGATATGATCACAGGCAAGGCAGTGCCAAAAACCTCAAAAGGATCACTCACTCTGTTTCCCAAAGGTCAGGGCAAAAAGAGGGAATTTCTAATTTTTTAGACATTATTCTTTTAAAGTAGATGCCTTTTTTTTTAAGGTTTTCATGCCTTGTAGGGTAGCTCTACAGGGTAGAAAATATTTTAAAATCACAAAATTTTATTCTCCCCTTCCTTTCTTACAGAATAAAGACTTAAGGATTCCAATTCATCCTAAGAATTGGAAACTCTCTGTAATGTCTATCTATCCGTCCATCCATCCATCCATCCATCCATCCATCCATCCATCTCTGCAACCTGAACTTTTCTTTTTTTGTGAGAGAAAAAAAAGAAAGCTCTCTCACCCAGGCTGAAGTGTAGTAGCATGATCTCGACTCACTGCAACCTTTGCCTCCCAGGCTCAAATGATTCTCCTGCCTCAGCCTCCCGAGTAGCTGGGATTACAGGCATGCGCCACTAAACCCAGCTAATTTTTGTATTTTTAGTCGAGATGGGGTTTTGCCATGTTGGCCCGGCTAGTCTCAAACTCGTGACCTCAGGTGATCCGCCTGCTTTGGCCTCCCAAAGTGCTGGGATTACAGGCATGAGCTACCATGCCTGGCCTGCCACCTGATATTTTCAAATTTTTCCATACAAACTCTGCACTTCAATTATCTTCATTATGCCCCAAACATGTCATTCCTCTGCTCACCCTGAGAATTCTTCCTCTTACCCTTCCCTTCCCTTCCCTTCCCTTCCTTCCTTCCACTCTTCCATAATAAAGATTTCCCTCCTTCTTTGCTGCCCTATGGTGGGAAGTGCTTTATATTACTGCTTATGTGTGTATTCATGTGAGTGGGGGTATGACGGAGTGGGCTGAGGGTTAGGAACGTTGCACTATACATTAGAGGGAGGATCTGGCCTTCTTGAAAGTAGTCTCTGTATGAGTGTTACCCAGTTATTCTCAAAGGGGAATTTAATCTTCAACCTCCATATCAGTGGGTCTGTGAAGGTTTCATCTCTGCATGTGACTCAGTTACTTACAGCTCCATTTGGGCCCCAAGTTTGTCCTGACTCACTTCAAGGGGGCTGGGGTGAGGGAGACAGGAATATTCACAACTCCAATTCTCTCTTTTTTCTAAGTCAAGAGAAGTAAATATATATATATATGCATGCCAGTAGTCTGGGAATAAATGATTGCTGTGCCCTGAAGTTGATAAATCCCCTTCTTGGAAAGGCAGTGAGAAGAATCTATAAAATCATTTTATTTAACAGTGTATCTGTTCCCAGCACTGAAGAGAACAAGTGGCTGGTTATCTGATTCATGGCTTTAGAGATGTTGGATCTCTCTGTCTTGTCTTCTCTCACTGCTGGGAATCTTATTTTGAGAGAACAAATTTGATCCAAGTAGAAAAGAGAGAAGTTTGTATTGTATACACGTGAAACACTGGGTCCAAACAAAACCTTCTAATAATTAGGAAGAGAGAGGAGCTGGCTCTTCAGGACTTGGGTCAAATGCAGTCAAAACGCCCTGCCTTCCACCTTAATTCCCTGTCCACTCAAGCTCTGAGAAAGCCCATATTTCTGGTGGATAATTTCTAGAGATCCTTGTAAATAGCAAATCCAGGAAAGATTGCTGTCCCTGGGCTGAGCAGAGAAAATATTTCAATTAGAGACTTAACTGCATGGGAGATTAGCTGATTCTATAGACATTTTCTTGACTGAACCCATCAGGGACTACACTAAAGCAAAGCTGCAGTGTTGCACAACTGCACTGGGCTCCAGGCACATAGAAGCCAATGAGAATGCTGCCCCCTGGTGGTGTGCAGCACAGTGGCACTGGATGACAGAACAGCCTACAGGTTGCATGTTAGCTACTGTCCCCATTTGGGGTGTGTTGAATTGTGGGTCCCAAAGGGGTTGTCAGAAATTTCCACCTGTGAGAATTCGAGATGACCTGTTTTCCAATTTAGAGTTCTTCCCTTTTTCTCCCAGTCAAAGGGGAAATTCTTGTTTTATACCACCTGGAGACAACGTAGGTCCCAGGCTATTGAAGGGTTGGAGTCAGTGGGCCTAAGTGCTTGTCCCAGCTCGGCTGCAGGAATAGTGGATCCTTTGTGCTAATGTGACAATCTAGCCTGCTGCTAGTTTCACAGAACCTAGTGACCTTGGGAGGAACATAGTAGGCAAACTACTTGGGAGATAGACTTTAAAAGCAGAAGCTGAGATTATCACAAAGGTGGGGAAGGGAGACAGAAATCCTATTTCCTCTATGCTTAAAGGTCTGAAGTTATTCTTATGGTCAAAGCAAGAGGCTGATATAGAACAGACAGGCATAGATCCAGGACAGGGATCAGGGTGAGACTAGTAAGTCAGAGGTGCAACATTTAAGGGTACACCTAAAAACTCAGTAATCAAGATCAATAATATTTTAATGCAATGATTTTTAAAAGTTGCAATTAATGCAACAAATCCATGATAAACAAAATATCAAAATGTTAATAAAGACAGGTTCCTATCCTGCCCTTGCTGACTCACTTCATTTACCTTGCCCTAACCCTAACCCTAGGGAGGCGACTCTAGTGGTCCTCTGATGCCTTGTGGTGTAATAGAGAGAATGACAGTAGGAAGAGTCGAGTTTGAGTTCCGCTGCTGCTGCTTACTTACTACAGGTTCTCCTAAGCCTAAACAAGGAAGACAAGAGATTGTTTCTCTTTTGAGATTGTTATGGGTCATGATATGAACAAAAAAAATACAACTCTTGTTTTTGGAAACTGCAGGTCTCCTTCAACTGTGTGTATGTGTGTGTGTGTGTGCGCGCATGTGTGTGCGTGCGTGTGTGCGTGTGTGTTTAATATAACTAGGGCTTTTAGTTCACCCTCCAGAGCTAACCCCTTAAGCCTTTCAGGAAGCCAGACAACGTTCTCAGCCTTTCGGGCTCTCTGTTCGTCTCTTCCTTCACTCCTCACTGGCCCTTCCTTTTCTCTCTCACCAGAGGAACTATCTGCCCTTTGCAAGAGCTCAGCTCCCACGTGCCTGCCCAAGGTTTGCCATAGGCCGCGTATCCTTCTTATTTTTAGGCAATAGGGAGGAAATGGGAGGAGGGTGGAGTGTCTTCTTTGAGGACATTGCCTTTGAACTGTGCTCTGGAAAGGTGGTGTCCAGTTTTCTCTGGCCTTCACTTTTGCCTTCTGCCTTCTGCCTTGTTGGGCTTGCGTGAGTGGCCCGCGCTTATTTGTCAGCGTGGTCCCCCTCTGCTTGGAACCGTCTTCTCTGCCACACCACCCTACTTAAACCACTTTCTCTTCTTACCTGGCCTCTTGCAATAACCACCTAATTTATCTCCCTGCTTCCATTTCTCTTAGCCTGTTATGGTCCATTCTCTCCTCAGCAGGAGTGCTTAAAAACAATTTTTTAAAGAAAATTATAACATGCTGCTCCCCTACTTAAATCTTTCATAGGTTCCCATTGCATTTAAAATTAAAATTGAACTGCATAATCCAACCTAGGAATTCTGAAACTTTAGCATACTCGGAATCATCTGGAGGGCTCGATAAAACACAATGAGGTGCCCCATCCCAGAGTTTGTGACTCAGCAGGTCTGGGTGGGGCCTGAGAATTTGCATTCCTAACAAGTTCCCAGGTAACATTGATGCTGCTGGCTCCAGAACCACAGTGAGAACGCTGATCAAGCCTGCAAAGCCTGACCTTGATGCCCCCACTCCCCCACTCACCTTCTACTACTTTTCCACCACCCACTCGGCCTGGTCATGCCTGCCTTTGTTCTGTTTTCTCAAATATCTTGTCCTCATTCCTGCCTCAGGGCCTCTGCACTACCTGCTTCCTCTGCCTGGAGCTTTCCTTCTCCAGATAGTCTCATGACCAGGTTCTTTTTAAATGTCTTAGCTTACATGCCACCACCTTGTCTGCCCGGTCTGCTTGGCCCTCCAGCTACTCTCCATCATATCTGTTTCCCTTTATCTTGTTTATTTATTTATCTGTAAGTGGTCTGTTTCCTTCATCAGAATAAAAGCTCCATGAGAGCAGGAACCTTGTCTGTGTTCTTTGCCAGCACCCAGCACAGTCTCTGGCACATAGACCACACGCAATATATATTTGTTGAATGAATGCATGAATGATTAATGAATACCAGTAAGTGGTGGAGCCCAAATTTGGTCCCAGGCCTTTCTCACTGCAGAGACAATCTTAATGCTTAGTGTGTGATTTGTGCTAGGGATGCTGAGGCACACACTTGGCTGGTCTCCCTGACTCTATTCTTGCACACATTACTCCCTCCCGAGCACTATTATTGGGCTACTCTTAGGAAAAGTTCACCTTGATAGCTCCTGTTTCCCTTCCCAAACAAGTCTAACCTCCTTTTCCTGGCCTTCAAAACATGCATGAAAATAGTCATCTTGGCTAGAATCACGGCTCTGCTGTCAAGTTCATTTATTTGGTTATGACTTTGGTTAAGCATATTCTCCATTGTTCTTTCCGATGACAGATGCCATGAAAATCATTATTCATTTGATCATTTACTGATTAAGAGCCTGGGCCTTAGAATCAGAGACGTCTGGAGGCAGTAATTATGTTTTAGGGCTTTTGACAAATTACCGAATCTCTATGAGCCTCAGTTTCCTTAATCTAAGATGAGTGCAATAATAAAACCTACCTAACAGGGTTTTTGAGAGGATTAAATGAGATAATGGAACCAAAACCCCACAGCACAGTAACTGGCATACAATAAGCAGTCGTACATGTCACTTAATTTGATGATGGTCTGTCTGTTTAAGTTATAACTGGAGCAACCAATAAAGTGATTTTTTTTTTCTTAACTCCCAGGACAGGGTCAGAAGAGGGTGAGAAGTTTGGCAGGTGCTGGTTTGGAACCAGGTAGGGTGTTTTCTGAATTCCGTGGTCTGGTCTGCGGAAGAACTACAAAGGAGTATGCTTTGAGAGGTCTTGAGTTTCCACAACATCTTTCCTTATTTCCTGTCTTAGGAATTTAAGTGGGATCATCTTTGCACTGTACCTGCTGCCCCAGTGGAAGCTGAATGCCTTTTCAGGGTAACATTCCCTGTTAATCCAACACTGCTCTTTGGTCTCTCACAGGGTGGATTGTGGGGCAGTTCATTTCCATGTTTCAATCCCATTGGTTAAACACGGACAGGGCTTCCAGGGTCCTGTTTTTATCTCCATGGGGGTATGTGTGGGAGAACCAATGGTATCAGTATGTACTCCGGAGGGCTCCTCGACCTTGGATAAGGAGAAGTTCTCCGTGGCTGTCCAGTAGGCAGAGGTGGCAACTGAATTTACTTCCTTCTAGCCCCATTCTGGATGCTTTTATTGACAGATAAAACCCCCACCCATGCCCATTTCTTTTCCCAGAAATGCCAGAATCTGATTTTGGGTCCCAGTACCAATTTCTCAAGTTCCTTTTGCACTCTGCCCTCGCTTCAGTGAATTCTCCTGAGTGCTGTTCCTTTACTCTTTTGCCTGGGCAGAGTGCAGTGGCAGAAAACAGTCTGTTTCCCTTGCAAAAGACATCTGCCCTTCCTCCGATTTCCACTTTTCACCTCTGTTCAGAGGCAGATGGCTTGTAGCCAATACTCATTTCAAGCAGGACATTTACATATTCCTGTCCTATTGATGGAAATAAAATAAGCTTGGGAAAGCCTAGAGTTATAGAGAGGTGATGACCAGCTGACAGGAGCCAGCCAGGAAGGCCTCCTGATCCCTTGGTTAAAAACATGTTTGTTTATATGGCACATCTCAGGGCTGCTACCTTTCCAATGCCATTCAGGGCAGGTAAGAGTCAGGCAGACTCGTTCACCTGAAACAGGAGATGGTGAAATTCTGGGGTGATAAAAGAAAGCATAACAATAGTGGCAGTAATATAACACATTTAAAATTCTACATCTGCCTGGAGGGCCTTTAATCAAGGATTTCAAAACACTTTCCCAGATCTTGCCCATTCATCTTTACCACATCCCTGGGAAACAGCTGGCAGGTAGGTAGCAGAGCATTAAAATTAGGGTACTGTATCATTATCTTTGATATCAGCACTATTTGTTTAGACAGCATTTTTTTCTGAAGAACTAAAGAGCTCCATACACATTATATTATCTGATTCTCACTTAGTCATACAACATCCCCCATATTTGCTGACTTGCAGGTAGTTTGGAAAGCTTTGGATCCACAGAAATGCATTACTTTACTGCCTACTCCCTCCCCTCCCACTCCTGCATAATTCACAGGCACTTCCCACTGATGGCTGGCTGACTTTAAGCTGCCAGTACCATGGGCTGGACCACCTACCTTGTCTATCACCAAGACACAAGCACCCTCAGCACATACATTCAGTTTTATGTCAGTGATACCAAAGGCTGTAGGAAGAACAAATCATAAATTCCCTCATCAGATTTCATTTGAGTCTAGTTTGTTGGGTTTTAAAACCTCACTTGTATGGCTATTAGATGGATTTCATGATTAGTATGAAGATACACCATTGGGAATGGATCTGCAGGGTCTACCAATCATATAAACCCATGGTTGAGGCTAAGCTTCTAGCACAGTCTCTGTCCACCTTGAAAGTGGGCATCACCTTTACAATTGGCCCAGGGGATTGCTTTGATTTGTAAGAACTTCTGTATTTCCCTTTCACTGAAGTCATCAGGCAAGTGATATTCTTCTGTTATGTACTTATAGTACATGTTACAGTTGTAAAGAATCAATCAATTGTATAATTGTTTCCTTATTTGTCTTCTCCACTATCCTAATAAGCTCTACAAGGGCAGGAGCTGCATTTGTTCTAATCACCCCTATATTTCCAGAGTTAAGCACACATCAGATGCTTAATAAAAATATCTGTTGAATGAGGCTAGGCACGGTAGCTCACACCTGTAACCACAGCACTTTGGGATGTGGAGGTGGGTGGATCACTTGGGGTCAGGAGTTCGAGACCAGCCTGGCCAACATGGTGAAACCCTGTCTCTACTAAAAAATACAAAAAAAAAAAAAAAAAAAAAAATCAGCCAGGCGTGGTGGTGCACATCTGTAATCCCAGCTACTCAGGAAGCTGGACCACAAGAATTGCTTGAACCCAGGAGGCAGAGGTTACCGTGAGCTGAGATGGTGCCACTGCACTCCAGCCTGGGCGACAGAGTGAGACTCCATCTAAAAAAAAAATCTATTGAATGAATGAGGGAAAAAATAATGGCATTTATCACACTGAACATTCTCTGGCTTAGGGCTTCTAATCACACCCTTTCTGCACTGGTGTAAGTTCCATGTCCGGGCATCATAATGGCCCCCACCCCCATGCCATATAATCACGCACCCTGGGAAATGCAGCCTTGCCAACCCTCCCCCTTCATTTTCCTCAGTCCTTGAGAAACACAGGTGCTGCTTAGATAGAAGCCTTATATTTGGCCCAGTCTCTTCCAATAATTTAGTTGAGCTCTGGGCTCAGAATTTTTATATGGCCTGCTCAAAAAGCCCAGTGCTTCCAGCAAAATCTCTCACTTGCACCTGTCCCTGTGGTATGGAGAGAGAAACACATAAACTCTGGGGCCATAGAAACTTGAGTTAAAATCTTAGTTCTACTGCTTATAGCTGTGTGACCTTGGCCAAATCTCTTACCTCTTTGAGCTTCCGTTTCTTCAGCAGTTACCTGGAGATGATAACATTCACATTGGGTTGTCGTGCGGGTGACATGAGAAAGCACAGGCAGCAGGCTCAGCAAGTGATGGTTCCCTTTCCTTCCCCTCTTTCCTTGACCCCTTCCTTTGACTTATCCACCCTCCTGGCTGCCAGTTATCGTCTGGATGCCTCTAGCTGTCATTCCCTAGGTTTTCGGCTCCATGCTGGAAGAGTTGATACTCAGACTATATTTAGATGCCTTAGCGCTTTCATTTTTTTATACCACTGTGTTGCTATGGTGATGGTGGGGAGGGGAGGGGAAGGACAGCTTGAAAGGAAAGATGGAGCTCAGCGGTGAGGATCGGTGGCCTTGGCTGTGGACTGTTCCTGGCTGGTACTCTCCAAGGAGATTTACCTGTGCATTCCATCAGGAGATGCAGTAAGGAGACAGGAGGAGGCAGTGCTTAGTAAAGGCTCGCAGGAAAAGAGAAGATAAAGAGGACTGACTGTTGAAAACTGCTCGCTACACTGGCCCAGACACAGCCTTAACTCCAGGAACCTTCCTTAAGTGGCTTCTCTAGCAATTGAGTCAGGAGACAGCAAATGGGGTTGGGTGGAGAAATGACATCAGTTATGTTGGAGTTTGGAAGATGTTCAGACCAGACTCCTTCACAGGAAGAAAGTCCCATCTTTATACCATGGCCCAGGATTGTCATGGATTCTATTGATTAAGGAAACCAAAGTTGTACACGGGCAGAAAAGAGAAGTCCTTTTATTTGTGCACGGAGCTCCATACACTCAGTGGATTTGAATGCCTACATGGTAGGCTCCAAGCTGATGTAAAAAATTGCACTGTAGAATGATCCAGTGTTCCTAAAATGGTTACACATCATTTCACTGGGTCCTCAAAAGTGGCCTGGTGAAGTGGGATTATCTTTACATGAGGAAATGACATAGATAGGTTGGCAACTTGCCCAATGTCACACAGCTGGTAAATGGCAGAGCAGAGAATTGAACTCAAGCCACCTGGACTCCAAATCTAATGTTCTTTCCAGTATACCAATGGTTACCAAAACTAATTATTTAAAGCTGAAGAAAATTTATGTGAAGATGAAAGCCTTTGGTGAAATAGAACCAAACAAAGCGGATACAAGCCGAGACACTCAAGTTGAAGTGGAGAATCTCCCTTCGACAAAACCTCCTTCCACTTCACCTGCCAGAAGAGAGGGTCCTAGGCAGCACTTCTATAAGGGTAGTGGTTGAAGTACCCATATTAGAAACATCTGGTATAATTGTAAAAGTGCCAATTCCTAAGTCCCAGTCCCAGATTCTAATTTGTAGATCTGGGGTACTTTTCTTTGGACAAGCACCCAGGAAATTTGGATAAATACTAATTTAACTGGAGTTAAACAAACAACTCTTGACTCAGAAAATTGGGAGATGGAATAAAATTGCATCACCTATCTCTTTTTCCTATCTGATTCCTCGAGCTCATTTTTAGCAGCCTGAAGTCAGGCATGTCAAAACAATCAGGCTGGATTGTCTTGTGAAGTTTTCCAACTGCCCTCTGGGCCTCCATCAGTGGCTGATCCCTGGGCTCTAGGCTATGTGGGTCATCAAGGTCCAGGTGAGGCCACAGCCATTGTCTGACCTTGGTGGGGTCATCATTGTGCCTAACAGCAGATACAAGGAGACTCTGGGTGGAGGGCAGGGAAGAAGGGTATTGGATTCAAGAGCACAGGAGGGGATGTTTATCAGATGAAAAGTCCCAAAGGAGCATGCAAGATTGGGACTAAAAATATGTTTATTGGCCAAAGCAGAAGGTTTGGGAAAATCTGCAGGGAAAGAATGCCTAATTTCTCATTCATCAAAGGGTTGAAAGAACAGTATGAAAAATGAAGGAGATTCTGAAGGTGCTGTTGAAGGGAGAAGTCAGTGTAAGATTTTTAGTTCTCCTAAATTCGGAGGACCTTAGGATGCTCCCCTCCCTTATAAATAACAGCTTCCTATGGGCAAACACTGTGCTTTACATACATTTAATCCTTCTCATTGAATCCTTCTCAGAGCACTATTAAGTACTAGTAGCATTTCTATTTTGCCCATGAGGAATCTGAAGCTATTAGAAGTCAGGTAACTTTGTCCAAGGTCACCCAGCTAGGAAGTGACAGAACTAGGATTTGACCCCAGTGGTCTGATTCCAAGACCCCTGCATACTTGTCCAAAACCGACTGACCCTAAATAGGTGTAAATAGTCCAATTAAATATCCTTGATAAGATTTTCTAAAAATATCAGATTTCAATTTTTTTAAAATAATTTCTTGGGGGGGTGACCCTACTTAGCTGAAGCTTTTAGGTAATCCAGCACCAGGTAGGTGAAGGAACGTCTCCAAGGGGGTTATATTCCTAATCTCCTTTGCTGCTGCCTGCTCTGGCAGGAGATTGCATTTGTTCAGTTGTTTTTACAAAATCTTCTTAAAACAAAATCTTATTAAATCAACAATAACAACAACAACAATGAAACATATTTATTATGTAAGCCCTGCATACAAGGCAGAGCTGAGATCCCATTTCCTGAAGAAACTGTCCCCATGACTCAGGTCTGCAAGCCCTCTTCCTCTTCCGAACCTGGTCTCATTTCTAGTTTGTAGCTACCACGTGGCACCCAGCACATACAACTTCTGTCTTCTCTCACCTTGCCCTGTAAGCCCCATGGGAGTGTAGCTGTGTCATACACCTCTCTGTTTCTCCAATGCTTGGCCAACTGAGGCTAGCTTAAGCCATCAAGCATTCCTCTGAACCAAAGGGAAAATGAAATTGAAGGAGGCCAAGGAATTATGGGCACAGAGGGAGGCAAGAATGGATAGCCCAAATTCACCAGCCTTCTGTGTAATTTCAATACTGATGGAAATGCTCTTGAATGCATTTCTTTCTTCCCCATCTGTACCAATTCCCTTGGGTCATAATTAACTTTCATATCCCGGCAATTTTTCCTGGGGTCAAGGAGGGACAGGTAGGGAGAGGAGGGAAACAGGGGCAGGAAGGAGACGTGACCTAGTCACACCTCACAATCTGAGCTCATGGTCCAAAGGAAGGTGGCCAATTCTGATTTTAAAAACCTTCATAAGTTTAGGCTCCACATGATTAGTTTCTACTGTTCCACTTTGGAGACTGACCTAGCTCCTCTCCCCAGCATCTCCTTTAGATTCTGACCACATACGTAGAGTGATTGTTTTTCCAAGAATCCATGCCTCAAGCATGAAGCCTTCTGATGAGATTTATCATCTCCGGAGAGCTCTTTACAGTGGACAAAATGCTTCCCCATGCATGACCATTCAGAGTTTCCCAACCACCCTGCAGGTTGGGCAGGGCAGTTATCAAGGACCTCACTTTACTGCTGAAATGAAATTATGGGGTTAGTTTTGGGGGTATATTGGTCTGTTTCCTCTCTCCCAAAGGAAAACAAAATCCTGTTGGGGATTCAGCTGCAAACGTCTTAAGTTTTGGAGGAAGAAGAGAAAGAGAGGCAAGTCCTTTTTTCCAGAGACAATTAACTCTAGCCCTGGTCAGCAGACAATTGACTGTATTTCTTATAACTTGTTGCCTACTATCAACTTCTAATCCCTGAAGGGTAGAAAGCCCCAATAATCCTTTGCATGTGCACTAGGCACTTCTGTTTACAGTTATTTCATTTTATTCTCTTAACAGCCCAGTGAAGTCTATGCAGTTAGGCTCACTTCCACTTGACAGTTACAGGAATTGAGACCCAGCAGTGTCAAAAAATCTGCCCAAGTTCACATAGATGGTAAATGGTACAGCTCAGCTTAGGCTCATGTCTTCAGAAAATGAGGCCAGGGATCTTTTTAATACTCTATTCCTCTCTGTCTTTGAGCATTACCCAATCCATACCTGGACATTCCGGAGGCAAAAAAGCAGTATATGAAGATGGTCCATTTCCATGGATCAAGGGTATTACAACACAGAAGAGAAGTTAAGAGTGAAGATCTTGTTGTCAGGTTGACCTATGTTTGAGTCATGACTGACCACTTATAGCTGAATAACATTGGGAAAAGCACCTTTTTAAGCCTCTATATTCTCATCTATAAAAGGATGTGATAATTAAGTGAGATGCCCTCCTGCAAATTACTTAGCAGAAATTGCTCAATAGTAACTAATTGCTGTTGTTGTGATTCTTGACAATGCTCCTGATATTAATCACTAAATCTGTTTTAATTAAGGGGTCCTGCATAACATTGTATCACCTTGGTTATTTTCCAAGATGGAGGTGGTATCTCACATGCTTAGGCATCTTCTCTATTTCACCAACTTTCCTATTTGCTTTCCTAAAAGCGGCTATAATGTTGCTTCTTTAGCACACCCTCCATTAAGAGTAGTTTCAGTGTCTGCTGTTGTCAACCTTCTGGGGCTTGAGGATAGAAATCCTGTGAGCGGGTGGTTATCTTATCTTTTCACCCTGCTGGTCATTATTCAGCCAAGCTGAACACATTTTTTTCTTTTCATGTTTTTCCTCACACTCTGTTTAGTCAAGTTTCTAAAGTAGCAAACTTGTCATTGAAGTGACCAGACAGAACACTTAGCATTTTTCTCACATGCACACATTTTCAAAGTACTTTTCCATCTCTCTCCAATGCTCAATGTCTAGAGGGAATGTGGTGTTTTGGAGCATGACATTAAGAGAAGGGAAAATTGAATGTTTTCTGGAATTGCTATATGCCTAATGGAGACTTGGAAAATATCCATTGAGAAAGAGGAGAAACGGAGTTGGAGTGAGAAATTAAGAAACTGTCTCAGCTCAGAAAACTGGATTTCAGGGTCTGAAGAGCTCTAGGTCTCCAGATTCCTAGAATTCTGTTTCCCAAATGGTACTTGTTTGACATTGGACATGGGAGGTGTCAAGAATGTGATGGAAGAATGAGTAATAACGTTTATAAGGTGGATGATGGAAGGGAAGACATGGTTAGACAAACTGTGTAGTAGGGGAAGGATGGAAAAAGGCTTTACTGGACCTCAGAAATTAAATTCCATTTACAAATGTCTATTGAGTTTCCATGGGCAAAGTATGTGATAGGCATTAGGGGGTAAAGAAGTTAAAAAGACGAGTAAGACATTGTTCTTTATCTTAAGAGCTTCACATGACATGGACAAACATTGAGAAATAGTGACCCAGAATCCATCAAGGCCAAATTCATAACCTATAGATTCTCTATCTGTGGAAATTTCTTCTGAGCACTGGTGTTGGGAAGGGGAATAGATTAGCACCCCATTTTTCATGCACAACAAAACAAAACACACCAACACACAAAATTATATAGGAATAGTAATAATTATTATTATTTACTACTAAAAAAACACATACAATCAGATTATGATTTCTTTCCTTCTATGCATTCTCCTTGGACTGTACTGGTATTGCCATGAAGGTGAAATATTGACCTGATTTCTCCTGGATAGCAATGTTTGCAGTTCAATCTGGTAACTACTTAATGTGATGCCCCAAGGCCCTTCTCTTACCTTTAACCCGACCCACCTCCCCGCCTGCAATGACCCACATTGACTGAATCCCTACAACATGCCCAGTCCCATTTGGCACCTGGTAAATGTCAGGTATCATAATACGATGCCAACACTATGCAGAGATGAATAAAACAGTTTCAAGATTTCGCAGTCCAATGGGGAAAGCAGACATGTAAGCAGATATTTATACTGTAGTCTCTGATTTATGAAACTGGGAAGAGCCTCAAAGACTTCAAAGTTCCAATATGTCCTATGCCACATGTTGTTTAATAAAATAACAGCTAATACTTACATGTCATTTAATATGCTCCAGGCACTACTATGTGTGCTTTATATGTATTAACTCATCAAATCTCCACAACACACCAGAGTAGGAACTATTATTACTCCTCTCTCAAAAATGATAAAAACTGAGGCACAAGAAGGTTAAGTCACAGCTAATAAATGATAGAGACAGAAAGTGAACTGAGGAGGTCTAGCTCCATAGTGCATGTCCTTAACCACTATACTATACTGCCTTTCAAATGAGATAATAAAAATTGCTTTTCAATGAAATGGAGGGAATTGTGGCCTCTCTCATCACCTCCGAGTCTCTCTCTGGCTTCTTTATAGCCAGCATTTATTGAGTGTTCTTTATGTGCCACATACTATGCTAAATGCTTTCAACACATCTCATTTAAGTCTCCTTCAACTTGATGAGACAGGTACTAGCATTATCTTCATTTTACAGAGGAGGGAATTGAGAATAAGAGAGATTCAGTAAAATCCAAAGTTGCACAGAGAAGCGAGATGAAACCGGGATTCCAGCCTAGCTTAGTTGGACTCCAAGCCCAAAGCCTTCCTTTGTTTAAAAAACAATTTTTTTAATTTAATTTCTTTCTTTTCTTTTTTCTTTTTCTTTTTTCTTTTTTTTTTTTTTTTTTGAGATGGAGTCTCACTCTGTTGCCCAGGCTGGAGTGCAATGGCACGATCTTGGCTCACTGCAACCTCCGCCTCCCAGGTTCAAGTGATTCTCCGGCCTCAGCCTCCCGAGTAGCTGGGATTACAGGAGCCCGCCACCACACTCGGCTATTTTTTAATACTTTTTGGTAGAGACGGAGTTTCGCCATGTTGGCCAGGCTGGTCTCGAACTCCTGATCTCAAGTGGTCTGCCCCCCTCAGCCTCCCAAAGTGCTGAGCCACTGCACTTGGCCAATTTCTTTCTTTTTTTTTCTAAGACAATGTTGTAGCACCAAAGCCTTCATTTGACCTGATATCTTCTTCCTCTGTAATGGGCTATTTTTGCTGGAATCTCAAGAACAATAGGACAAGTATCTCCAGTTCCCTCTGCCTAAGACCAGACATGCCAAGCCTTCTGCTCTGGGAATGTGTTTGCATCCACCTCTTTCTGAGATGAATCAGATTCCATAAACCACCCTCTACTACCCAGAGTCAATGCTGAGTTACGTGTGCTGGAGGGAAACCGATGGGGCTGTCAGTAGAGGAGCCCCGTGAAGTTCCAAAGGCCCTGATCGACTGGAGGCAGGCTGCTGCTGATGTCAGCTTCTATAGGTACCACTATCCAAAGCCTTATGATTTTCCAAGAAAAGAAATATTCTCAAGAATCTCTAGCCATCTAACATAGTTTTAAAATTGCTACAATTGCCCAAAGGGAAAAATAATTCAGAATCTTTCTTATCTCCAGATGTCCTTGTCAAAGTCCAGGCTAGCATATCTTTAGGATAACCATCATAAAAATGAGAAAAGGAAAAGCATTTAATGTGAAGAAGAAGAACAGGAAGACACAGACAGATGGCGCTCTGGAGGAGCACAGCCCTCCTAAGGAAGCTCTTAGGCTGCTGTGCAACTTCCATTTATCTTCTCAAACTTCCTGGAACATTGGCCGCTGATGTACCTTATCTATCTATTGATGGCCCAGAAGTCATATAAACACTGTCTATCAATGGCTACCGGGACTTGTGTCCAGCAGGTTCAGACACTTGCCATTTGATCTCATTTATCTGCACTTTTTTTTCCTTAATGCTCTGCCATAAAAAAGAGTTAAAAGCTATAATCTCCCCCTTTTTCATGTCTTAAGCAGTTACTCTCCAACAAATATTCAAACTCATTTTCTGAATGTACAGAAAAATCATTTGAGCTGCCATTTACAATTTTAGCTCTTAGGTAAATCAAACAAATTGGAAGCAATTGCTGTAAGAGCTGTACAGGCAAACAAATTCAGCTCCATCTCTCATATGTTTCTGCTTCATGGAATTTAAGCTCCATGCACCATCCGTCATTTCTATTTTATAAAAGACGTGCATGGACCAGAACTTTGCAGCCCATGTTAAACAGGAAATTAACTAACAAGTTCTCTAAATATTCATGGTGCATCTACATATGCAAGGAAATGTGCTACAAATTGACAAGGCATAAATTGGATTCTCTGTCCACCAAGAGATTGAAATATATGTGTACAATAGGTAATATTTCATAATTATAGAACAGGTGCTACAGGAAGTGTGTAATCAATGGAGAGAGTATTCACTTGGTAGGTATTAAAGGTTCTTGAAAGGGCTGGGATGGAGCAGGTCATTGAGAATACAAAAGATTCAGGTAAGTGAGGGGCAGAGATTAGGAAAAGAAGATTATGAATACTGAGGCACTGAAACAAGAAAATATGAAGTGCATTTAGCAGACAGTGGGTAGGCCCATGTGGCCAGAGCAGAAAGGTTGTGGGGGCAAGTAATGAGATATACATCTGTTTGGTGTTGCTCTGAGAACTAACAAAGCCCCTTATCTAAATAGGAGTCCCTTGAGAATAGAATTCATCTAGGTAGGTTTTCTGGGGAAGCCAGTGCCCACCAGTCTCCTGTGGATACTGCTCTTTCTTTCCTAAGGATTGCTTTAGAAGCAAATCCCTGAGAGCTGTGTCAGCTAGGATAACTCTCTCTGCTACTCTCAGGTAACGGCTCCTTCCCCATCAGGCTATCAATGCTTCTCCTGCTGCTTCTGACACCTGAGTCACTGGACTCAACATTGAAGACCTGGCTCATAGGTTTCCTGCCAGCATCCTGCGTGGCTTTAGTGGCCCAAGATAACTTATTATAAATCCTTGGCCCTCAGTTCCTTGACCTTTTCCCTTTTAATAGCCTCAACCTTTACTTTACCCATCCACTCTCAAGTCTACACCCTGAGCATTATCATCACCTAGAACTACTCCTCATCAGAGAAATCAAATTCAAACATTCCATAGCTGAACTTCTTATTTTCTTTACCAAAGCTTCTTCTCCTCCTTTAATCCCTATGTCAGTGGATGGTACCACTATGCATTCTTGCCTGCATTCTGGCTTCCTCTCCAGACTACCCCCATTTCCAATCAGGAACCAGATCCTGTTCTTTTTACCTACTTCTACCTCATGAACACATTTTCTTTTTTTCATTCCCTGCTAAAACTCTCATATATTGGCCACCATCACCTCTGGCCTGGATTCTAGTAACAGTCTCCTAACTTATATTCCTGACCTGATTTGTACCCACTCAACTTCACTCACCCAACACAGCTGAAGTTATCTGTTCAAGTGGCAAACCTCAGTATGCTCTTCCTTCCCTCCAAATTTTGAATGGTAACTCCTCTGTCCTCCAAACTTCTTAGCATGCTGAAAGAGGCCTTTTTCTAGAATGTTGTTACTTGTTCTCTTCCTTGCCCAGTTCCACACATCCTCCCCATCTCAGACACCATCTTCTCTGAGATGCTTTTCCCAACTTCCTTAGACTGATTTGGGGAGCCTCCCACAGCTGGTGTTTGCCTTTGGGATGGCACTTAACATACTAAATACTCAATTGAAATTACTTGTTTATAAGACCACCTCCAGCATGAAGAACAGTTTCCAAACCATAACAGGAGCTCATAAATGCTTATGAAATGAATGAAAAGAGATGCAAGTGAGAAACATTTTGAATATAAGAAGGGGAAGTAAGACAAAGTAAAAGATAAATTTAAGGTTTGCTACTGGGTGAAAGAGGTGGGGATTGTGGAGCAATGGGCAGAGGAAGAACTTCCAGAAGAGAAGAAGCAGGTTTTGAAAATGACACTTTCAAGTTGGGCATGCTGACTTGGAGAATGACTAGATATGAGGGAACAGAGCCAGGAAACACAGATTTGGGACTTAGACACAAAGAAGGTATCTTTGAATCCATCTGTGTAGATGATGTGTTTAATACATATTGTGTGGCTTCATTACACCGTCGAGCCATTGTGACTTCCGTTTGCTGTTTTCATGCAATATGATGCTTGTTTTTTAATTGGCTTCTACCAATTTTCCCCCAAAAGATAATTTCTTTGATCAACACATTGGCTGACTATTGATTCATACATTTCTATTTATTTATAGAGAGAGGAGCAGAGGACCAAGATTTGTATACGCAGGAAATTTTACCAATTATCCAGGTAATTCAGGTATAAATTAGAGAGTTTTTTTCTTAATTTTTGAAATAATTATTTTCATTGTTTCTGATTTTGAAGATCTGCGGGGATGTTTTTCTCCTGTAACTACCCTTTCTGTCTTTTTTTTTAACATATTTTGCTAACTGCAGCCATTAATTACCTCATCACACAATCAAGCCATTGTGACTTTTGTTTGCTGTTTTTATGCAGCCTGATGCTTGTTTTTCAATTGCCTTCTACTGTTTTCCCCGAAAGATAATTTCTTTGATCAACACATTGGCTGACCATTGATTTATGCATGTTTTACCAGAAATATTCTTGCTTGATCTCCCTCCTACCTCCTCTAAGTTGATTTCCCATTAAGGAATACTGTGTTCTGAATTTTATTCTCTTCCCTTCCAAGTGAATAATTATCAGTACTTAAACTATCACGTCATATGCGCATGTCCTCCTGCCTACTAATTAATTTCAGAAGCTCAGTGCCCGTTCACAGATAAAAGAACGGTGCATTGGTACTTCACAGGGGTCACATTTTACCCCTAGAACCCCAAATCAGTCCACATTTTCCTAATCGTGGTATACAGGTTTGATTTAGTAAAGTCACAATTATCTTTCAGAGTTGAAATATAAACATAAAGGCGCTTCATGAATCTAATCATATTCCTTCCTGCCACAGGAAGAACCTTCAGTCTTTTGGAAAAACTTGTATATATATAGTGGTTCTTATTCCAAATAAGTTAAATATAGTGAATTCCTGATTCATATAGAAGTATTACAATATTTCCTTGATGAATTTGTATAGCTGGAAGCAGATCTGCCATGAAATGTGAAACCGCATCCCACTTGTGTGAGCTGCCCTGGTCAAATGTGTAAATCTCTAAGTGTAGCAAAATCTCCCTTTGCTCTAGGAAGTAGTTCTTAGCTTTTTGGGGGATCACAAACTGCTTCGATAATTCAGGTGCTTCTTACCAGAAAAATGCACATACTCACACACAATATTTTGTATATAATTTCAGGGGGTTCAAAGATCTTTGAAAACCTAGCCATCAATCCTCTAAAGGTCCATGGAGTGCCAGTTGACAACCCCTGGACTAAGAGCTAAAGATCAATTATTGATGGATGAGGGATTTCATAAACCTCAGAATGTGAGGAAAACAGCTGCAACGATAATGTGCACTGCTGGGCAGCAGCTACAACTCGCAGCAGGAGATGCACGGCTTGTATATAGTCAAGCCCAGCATGGCACTGAGTGGGCTGCCATCTTCCTTTCTGCAGGACATCACGTTTTCTACTCATTTTATTATGGGATTTAATTTTATGGCAGCAGAGCTCTGATTTTATAATGGAAACCAACACAAAATAGCTCCTTTTTTAATAACAAAAATTTGTCTTACAATCATTTCAGCTAAAACAAACTCGGCTTTTAGCAGGAGGGAGAATGGGAAAGGAGGAAGCTCCTGTGTTAAAAGAGCTGCTCTCTTTGCCTCTTCTCCCTTCCTTCCTACAAACCCTGGCTCTTCACTTTCTTTAATATCGTATACCCCCTTGACTCCTACTCTCTTTTATTAGGTCTCATTTCATTTTCTTGAAGCTGGTACTTGAATATCCTATATCAGTTTCAATCTTTCAATGTCTACTATTGATCTCATTTCATATTGCTTTGCAGATATCTGGTGTCGGAGCCACGCACCCCTCCCTTGAATCCTAACAGGGAAGCTTGGTGCTTTTGATCATTTGAATCACCATCTTTTACGTTCTATTTTAACTTGAGGCAACATAATCTCCCTCTTTCAATACTTACTTCAAACTTAGCTGATCTTTGATTTTTCGAAGTCATGTTTAGAAGTGTGACCTGCAGGATATGCCAGCCTGATAACTACAATTACAAACTGGATTATTTTGCTCATCTCACCATCATCCTCACAATTGCATTTATTACTATTTTAAATGTACATGAAAGCTCATTAGTTACTGAGACAATTTGAGATTTTCTCTCCCTTCCCCCAAATCCTCTAAAACACCATTGTGTTATGGATATGTGGTTCTCAAGCCAACATTTCTCACCACGTTACTTCCTATGCAACCCTCACAGACTGTAAACTTTGTTTTTCTTTGATTCTATTCTAAAGAAATCCTTGTAGGGTTCTTGAGATCCTAACTCCACATGATTTTCAAAGGACTTTGATTTTTCTATCCTTAACATCAGGGCTTTATCACCTTCCTTCGTGTCCCTTGGCCTCCAACACTACTGAGCTACTTGCCCTTCCCAGATCCTCATATTCTTCTGCATTTTTGCTTATGTGATTGTTTCTGTCTCGGGTGCACTTCCTCCCTTGTATACCTCATGACCCCCAGTCATTCTTTGAGGGTGTGCTCAAGTGTCCCTCAGCTCTCCTGGAATGCTTTCCTGATGCCCCTCCTCACTTCAATCCAGACCCACATGGATCCCCACCCTGCCCCTGTCATGCCTCTCAGGGCTCTTGTGTTGCAGAGCTGGCAGCTCTGCTTTGTAGCTGTTGATTACTTGTCCATGTCCATACCTCCCTCTAGACAGAAAGCTCCTTAAGGTCTGGGTATTATCACCTAGAGTGTCAACCTCCTTCCCACACCCCTGGTTTGGGGTATATTCATGCCTCTAATCCTAACCACATTGTTCACATGGGAGTGGCTATCTTTTTACATAGCCTATCTCTCCCACAGAATGAATGGCCTAAATGTTCTCTGACAGTCCATTTCCAACATTTAAACTGAAGATGTGGGTCTGAGTGCTGCTGGTAGTAATGTCTCCAGCCCAGTGGAGGGAACCAGTTTGAGAGAAAAAAGATGGCCTAAAAGAAAAAAGAAAGAATTCTGGAGACATTTGCATTCCTGGTTTTCATCATCCCTGGAACTTTCTTTCTCATGCTTTGCTTATGCAAGCCAAAAAAATCCCAATTTCTCCAAAGTGAATTCAAGCTGGGTGTCTGCCCTTTGCAACCAAAGAATCCTCTAAAATAATATGGACCATCTTATTCATGTCTCTACCTCCAGTAGCTGACTCAGATTTTGGCATTTAATATGGGCTTCAGAAACATTGGCATTGTTAGTTCAAAGCCTGAAATTGTATTTGTTGTAATGTGGAATCAGGAATTGAGGTGGGAGCAAGCACATGTCATAATGTGACAGATGGACAAGGCTTATACCTTAGAGCTGTATAGTGAAGTATTAACTCCACACATTCTGAGCATCTCTTTGGGTCTGAGTTTATTCTGGTGGTATTTGGCCTACCATGCTGCAGAAGTGTTGGCTATTTCTTATCTAACCAAGAATGATTAGCTCTCCTAGGGTATAGCCCTGAAAGACAAAATGAGAGAGACCATAGCATGCATACTCATTAGATGACTTGGTTGTCCAGTTGTCTTTGTGTTTGCGTGGTGCACAGGGTATTTGGTGTGGGAGACAGAACAGCTGAGATGGACACTGTTTACCAGCTGTGTGGTCCTGGGAAAGCAGCTTCACTTCTCTGGGCCCTCTTTTCCCTATTTGCCAAGTGGAGAGAGTAACACCTGTCTCACATACCTCACAGGACTATTGAGGGGATGAGACAACACATACGGCAACACTTTGTTGTTGTCAAATCCTTTCTCAGAGAATCATGTCAGGCCCTCTTCTAAACACAGAGGCCACTTCAGGGCTGATGGGCCGGCTTTGATAAACACATGACATAAGGCAGGGTCACTGCTTCAAGAACTGGCCTCATGCACCTTTGTCAAGGAGCTGGGGTGAGCCTTCCCAATTCTGATGTCTGCTTTCTGTCTTTTCTGTCCTCTTGACTCAATTGTCAAACAAAGCTTCTTGACACTTCCCATTCTGCCACTGCTCAGAGAGCCTCTCTGCTCAGTATTTGGTCATGAAAATGGAGCCTGTGTCCCCTGCCTACCTGCCCCATTTGGGTGGAACACACCCTCTGGTACCTGCCCTAGCTCATGAGTTGGGCTGAACCTCAATGAACCTGACAGGCTGTTCCCTCCCAGGCTCCCACTAGTTTGTGCAGTGTCCAGGATGTTTCCATTGAACACAGGTGGCTCTGCATAAGACCCAATGTTGACTGCTAGCCGGACATGTGGGCCAGCATGGAAAAGTGGCCAGGGGAGCCCCATCTAGTTCTGACTCTGTTTCCTTCCTTGCTGACCTTTGCATAAGTAGCTTCCAGCAGCTTCCTAGTCTGCTAGACTGGAAAGGACATCTCTGACAGCCAGTCCATGGCCTCCCCACCAATGGGAGGCAGTGGTAGAAAGATGGAGGCTTTGGAGATGGGTTCAAATCCCAGCGCTGCAGCCACCTACCTGTGGGAACTAGCACATAGAACACAACATTGCTGAGTCAGACTCAGACTGTGAAATGTGGATAATAAAGCTTGCATAACATTGCAACAATGGCTGATGGTTGGGTAGCTGCCTGGTATAGAACAGGTGCTCCATAAATATCAGTTTCCTTTCCCATCCTTCAATTATAAAACCAACAGTTCCCATCATTACGACGTCTTACATTTCTGGAAGAAACTTGCATGCACAATCTGATTCCACAAATGAAAATATTTCAAAAAGAAATCTTGGGGGAAGAAATACATTTCCTTTTCTCCCCAACCTGCTGAGACCCAAATTCTGGGTTCTGCATTCTCTCAGCAACAAGACAGAACACAGCATGAGCTATACTCCTTCCCAGCATGGGGACATTGAGGGAGGAGTGGGGTTCAGTTTGTCAGCCTGCTCAGGATGAAGACAGAATGTCCCCCCTGCTGTTGATGGGGAGGAGGTGCCTCCAGAGCTCTGAGCTGGGTATGGCTCAGCAGAGCCCTCAAGGCTGAGGATGTGTGTCAGCAGCAAAAATAATTCCCATCTGCCAGGGCTGCTTATGTTTTCAAAGCACTTTCTCTTCTTTTATCTGTTTTTCCTCATACAGTATCCATGTGAGTTGAGTATTATCGTTCCCATCTGACAGATGAGGAAATGAAGCAGACAGCAGCAGTATTGCAAAGTGGCTAAAGCACAGGCCCTTAGGAATCAGACACAGAGCTGTGTCCACATCCTGGCTCAGGTGCATAACCTTGAACTAGCTGCTTACCCTCTGAGCCTCCATTTGCTTATCTAAAGTGTGGATCTGCAAGCGCTCACCTCATAGAGACGTTGTGAGGTTTACAAGGGCTTGTCACGTGGTAGAAAGAACACAGGTTTTGGAGATGAGTATTCAAATCCAGGTGTTCTAAGTATTGGCTCTACAAGGGTGCCATTGACAGATCAGCAAAGAGCTTTCTTTCATAACTTCACTTTGGTTGCTTCTGTCCTGGGGCTGTTGGCCTGAGACTATCCTAAGAGGGCCCTAGGACCCCCTGGCCAGCCAGTGCTCTGAGTGGGCTCTGGGACAAAGTAGAGAAACCACATTTCCTGTAGAAATCAGACGCCACATCCAGTGACCTAGCATTGACACAAAGGCCAGAGACCTGGACCCCAGCCAGGTTCCTTCTGTGCCTCAGTTTCTCCATCTGTGAAAAGCACACAACTTACTTATGCTTTGAGCTGTTGAATTGTCACTTGGACCACAACAGCGGCTTCCTTCCCGGCCTCCTTGCTGCCCATAGACCTGGCAGTTGCATCTTTACTCCATTTCGCTGCCCTTTGGCTGAATCCTTGACCCAAGCTTTCTCCCTGGAATGTGGAGTTTTAAGGATACTATGGCTGCCTGAAACAACGATATGTAAACTTGGGAGGGTGGATCCTGATTTTTCTATGTGTGTGATGCAACAATGAAAAATCATCTGAAGAGAGAGGGAAATGAGACAGAGGTGCAGAGAGAAGCAAGTAAGAAACCGTTTGGTTCCAGGGGAAAAGACAGGAAGGTACTGGCAACTTCCCAGTTCCTGTTTTCAGCACCTGTTAAGGCCTGTTTGCCCTTCTGTGAGTTCTACACATACCCATATATCTTCTTTTTTTTTTTCGTTGAGGTGGAATCTCGCTCTGTCACCCAGGCTGGAGTGCAGTGGCGCAATCTCTGCTCACTGCAACCTCCACCTCCCGGGTTCAAGCAAGTATCCTGCCTCAGCCTCCCAAGTAGCTGGGACTACAGGTGTGTGCCACCACGCCCAGCTAATTTTTGTATTTTTAGTAAAGATGGGGTTTCACCATGTTGGTCAGGCTGGTCTTGAACTCCTGACCTCAGGTGATCCACCTGCTTTGGGCTCCCAAAATGTTCGGATTACAGGTGTGAGCCACTGTGCCTGGCCCCCATATATCTTATATATTCAACTTTATAGATATATAAAAGGTGCCTTTACTGGGTTCCTGCTTCTTATAACCAAAAGAGAGTGACAAGCATCCACTTCCTACCCTGTGTTTGGATGGGCTACATTGTCACTGGTTGTTCCTAGTCATGTCCAATTGTCACAGCACCCAGGTAAGTTCTTGGGCTGAAGAGGGTGTCACTGAACACAAATCGTTGACAATGAACAAGATGAATGTAACTCCAGGACAGGTGGCCCCTGCTTTACTGTGCAAGAAGATTTCAGCTGATCTATCTCAACATTTTCCCTGGATGTTTTCAAGTAGGAGGCAATATAGATTGGTGATTAAGAGCACAGGTCCCAGAATCAGACTGCCCAGTTTCACATCACAGCTCCACCCACTTACTAGTTATGTGACCTTGAGCAAATTCCTCTATCACTCCACACCTCAGTTTACTCATGTATCAAATGGGGGTATTTACAGTACTCAGCTCACAGGGATATTGTAAAGAATAATAAACAAATCCTCAATTCATGTCCCTCTTCATTCTCAAGTCCTAAACACAACAGAGAATGCATTTAGAGGAGAGGCTGTGGCAGGTGGGGCTTGCAGTGGATTCTGGTTTCATCTTTTCCACTTTGGTCTTTTGCGGGATGAGGAGGGAAGCTGTAAACTTCAGAGAAAACTGAGGCCTTGAAGAGGGGCAGGTCAACAAAGAGATAAACAAAGATAAACAAAGAGATAAACAGAGTCTTGTGAGTAAAAAGGGGACCAACTTGCCAAGCCAAGTGAGGCCCTCGTAGCCATCCTTCTGTGAGGTAACTGCATAGAAATGTGGGAAATTAAACGTCCTGAGGAAGGAGCTGCAGGACTGTGGGCTGGCCGCTAGAGAGGCTCCTGCTGCCTGACAGTGTGAAGGCAGGACACAGTTCTGCAAGAAATGTTGTGGGGGACCATGGGCTCAAGGGAGATGCAGCAATCAATACAAACTAACTGGGAATATGGGAAGAAGGGCAATGCAACAGAGTCAGAATGAAATTTGTGAAAATCTTGATCGTAAAGATTTTTATGAATTTAGATACCACCCTCAGAAAAGCATTTTCCTTTAAAAAAAAAAAAAAAACACCTCTTTGAAGATGAATGAAATCCCAGCAGCACATCTGCAGACTGCTTTCAGCTCAACAATACAAAGTTACTATAAATGGTTCTGTGTACAGAATGTCATTTAAAATGTGTGACAGGCCAACAACACGTTACTAATCTAGGACTGCAGATTCTCAAATCCGGTTGTCTGGGTACAAAACCTGGCTCCACTATTAATTAGCTGGAGGACCTCAAATGAGTTTCCCAACCTCTCTGTGCCTCAGTTTCCTTGTTTGTACAATGGAGACTGTTTAAGTGTCTAGTCCATAGAATTAGGGAAAATGAGTTAACACATATAGAATGCTTAAAACACCATGTGGCATAGTAAAAGTTCAATAAACATTAGCTGTGACAGCTGCATGTGGTTTTTTTTTAATCTCTTTGTCTTGTAATACAAGAACACAACAACATGCACACACACTCCAACAATCCAATGCAAACAACCACTCCAGCCTAAAGAGCTCTTTAAAGTACAGGGGCAGGTGAGGGCATAGTCTGGCTGAAAAGCACAAGCAAGAGTTCTCAGAACCTCAGAAGCCAAGGGTGCACTTGGCATCAGATTCCAGCACCAATTACATGGTAGGTGTGCTTTCTCTGACCCCCTAGATCCCGTCTTTGAACATAAACCTCCAATGTGTTAGTGTTGTCCTCTCTTTCCTGCTATTGCTCTGTCTTCTTCTCTGCCACTATCCTGGCTGCCCCATCAGGTCTGTGGGAGGGGAAATCTGTAAGCAGCAACATCAATCACACTCCCTAGCATAAGTGTCACCCTGGCTGGGCCAACTAAGCTCATGGAAAGGGAGATCAGAGGTTCCCCTGACATGTGACCAGGACAGGTATTATGGCAAGTGTCCATGGGCTTCCAGTGGGAAGAGCTAACCAGAGAACACCAGCCTCATGCTCCCAAAAGAGGTGCTCCATCCTTCTTCCAATTCCATAAAACTCTTTTCTTTAGAGGTTTTCCTTCTTTTTCTCACTTTTTTTTAAAAAAAACCCTCTGCCTATACAGTCACCTCCCCCTTTCCCCAATCTCTATCTCATTACGCAACTGCATGGGCTAAAAATACTTCTGGCAGCCGTGATCAAACCCAAACTGAGCAAGATGCAGATTTAATGAGGCTTCCATGGAAACAAGATTCCTTTTGCCAGGCAGAAGAAAGTGTCTGCGAGGGAAAGGAAGAGGGCAGGGAAGCAGGTGGAGAAGAGACTGAGGTGTTGGTTAGATGGGGGCAGCGGGAAGTTGGAGGAAGCCTCTTGGCCCAGCAGCGCTTTCTGGAAGGGGTCCAGCCCACTGCTGGGGACTGCACCCACTGGGGACAGTCAGCTGTCCTGGTCAGCAGCATCTTAAAAGCCACACCGTGTGAGCTCATCAAAGGAAACCACAGCTTCTGCCAGGCTAAAGACAAATATTTACCACTAGAGTCCCTTAAACAGTCAAACACTTAGCAGCTGAGAAATAATTAAATGAAAACACAAAAATGAAAAGGTGCCGACTCTGGAGTTCCTGGTAGTGCTTTGATTATATCCAAGAAAGTGCAGAAGAGAAAGGTTGAGAAAAGCCAGACAGATGTGATGATTTCTATCCTGCAGGTTTTCTACTCCTTTGAGGAGGCATTTCCTTGCAGCCCACGGTTCTCCGGGCTGCTAGAGGTGTGAGGTTCCTGAAAGAATCTCAGAGGGAAAGCAGAACTCTTTAACAAATGCCAGGTGGTTCAATGATCCCCAGTTTCATCTCACCAGAGCAGGGATAGCACCTGATGTAATCCTGCTGCCTCTTCCAGGCCCTTACCATTTTCTTGCTATTTTCCATTGCAATTGCACTAATTTTTCACATCCCGAGAAGGAGGGTACATACTGGTTAAAAAGCGGGGTCAGCAAACTATGATTCACAGACTAAATCCAGGTCTGATTTAGCCCATGAGCTGTTCTTGTAAGGTTTGTAAATTTTAAATGTTTTTTACATTCCAGAAGATTGTGACAGAAAGAAGAATACGTTACAGAGACCCTATGTTGCCCACAAAGATTAAGATACCTACTGTCTTCCCTTTACAGAAGTAGTTTGCTAACCTCTGGTTAAAAGCAAAGACTGTGGAATCAGATAGATTTAGTTGCAAATCGCAGCTCCTTCATGGACTAGCATAATGACTGTAAAGAATTTACTTTATCTCATTGAGTCTCAGTTTTCCCAATTGTAAAGTTGGGCTAAGAGTGCCTGTCTCATAGAGAATGAAGCTAACAGCTTAGCACAGTGTTGACCACGTAAATGGTCTACAAATGTAGTTAGTACTACCATCAGGAAGGATGGAAAAGTAAGCTTGAAGCATGGCAGGAAAATGACCTAGATTTGTTTTTCAAGGATACACTGCCTGCAAATATTCTGCCTCTTGGTTTGCACTAAGCATCAGATATGCATCCTTACGATTGATTCAGGAATTATATTCAGAATTCCCAGAGTTCTAAGGCTACAATGCTTCCCATGGGTGCAGGGATCCTGGGCCACAAGTCGTTTAAAAAGCATCTGATAATAAACTCCTAAAGCCAGAATCTGCTGCTCACCTAAATCACTACCTTACAGCATTGTGCTCTAAGTCTGGTCCATTATGCACGAGACCTCCTAAAACCAATGTTATCATGTTAAGATCCCTGTGCTGACTTACCCATGGCTTCTAGAATGTGGAATGGCAGAAAGGTGGCAAAGAACATGTACTTAGAAATCAAGCAGCCTTTAATAGTACAAAGCCACTTTGGCCTACCTTGTTCTCCTCTTCATCTTTTATAAATGACTGGATAAATAAATGAGTTCAAAAGCCCTGAAGAAACACTAGCACTGCATTCAATCATCCCTTGGAATAAATAACTGGGCTTCTGAGCCAAAGTGTTGCTTAGAAGGTGGTGCTGATGAGGTCAAGGTTAAACCTGGATCAGCCACTCAACTTTGTGTGGTCAGACATTCAGATGGTGTTTCCAGCCTCGGCCCAGTTGTCCTGGGAATGTCCACCCTGATCACAGAGGAGCTAGGTGGGGAATGCAGAGCTCAGCACATTCACTTCTACTTAGGGACAACAGCACACAAATGACTGCAGGGCTTCTCGATTGATGGCTGATTTTTGACGTAGTCTTTATTGGTTTTTTAAAAAAGAGGTATTAGAATGTTTAAGATGCATTTTTGCAATAAGAAGGTTCAAGCAACTTTAGATTTTAACAGGGATAGCAAAGAGCTTCACAAGGCCAAGAATGGAAATGGGGAAACTGCTCAGTGTTGGAATTAATGGGAGCAAAATGATTATAAGCCCTCACAGGACTTCCTTTGTGCTCACTGATATTTATTAAGGGCATAAAAAGCCTACATGATTCCAATCTGAAAAACTAAAAACACATTGCAAAAGAGGGATTATACTTTGCACACATTTTGCCCTATAAAGTAAGGATAGAAAGAACCCAAGAGAATGGAAGATGAAGCAGTGTTCTGGAAAGAACTCCTGATTAGAGGCCAGGAGACTGTTCTAGCTGTATTTCTGCCTCTGGTACTATGAGCATTGCCAAATCATCTGGCTTTTCTGTGTCTCACAATCTTTATCTGATAATATTCACAATCTTCCTTAAAGGGTTTTGTGAGGCTCAGAGGAGCTATGCAGAAAATCCTCTTTGAGGAGTGAAAAAGACTACACGAATGTAAGGTATTATGTTTGTCATCAATGATAAAATGAGTAGACGATCTAAAAGACAGAAGTCAATTCATTTATTCAATAGGTACATACTGCATACCTACTAGGTGACAGGCACTAATAATACTGTGGATGTGGTATAAATAAAAGAGGCAGGATTTCTGTTCTCCTGGACTGTGGATTCTGTGAGGGCAGACAGACATAAAATAAACAACACATAATTACAACTTAAATAAGTGCTTTGAAGGAAAAATATAGGGTAAAACAAGAGTATGTGATGGGGGATGAAATATAGACTGACTGAACCAGGAATGGCCATCCTTAGGAAATGATGTTTCAGTTATGAGGATGAGTAACAGTGGATAAAGAAAGAGAATGGTGGATCATTGTTAATGGGGAAAGAAGAACGTGTGAAAAAACCTGGTGGTAGAAGTTCAAAGAAAGAGAGAAGACTAAAAAAAAGGTGGATGAGGGACAAGGTGGTGCAATAAGAAACTAGAGAAATAGCCAGAATTTGTATCATGCGGGGCCTTGAAGAAGATGTTGTAGATCACAAAGTTATTCTAAGAGCAATGGAAAGCTACCAAGGGGTTTGGGGCAGGAAGTGACATGCCCCAGTTTGTATTTTTAAAATGATCCAAGTTGAACTTGTACCTCTGGCCATGATGGAGGAACTGGTACTAGAAATGATCTCCCATTGAAAACAATCATAAAACTGGAAAAACAATTTGTAGAAATCATTTTCAGGTATTGAACAGCAAACAGTGCAAACTTACAATCTTTGAGAGAAGGGAAATGCGTGAAGCAATTACTACACAATTGTCCAGCCTTTTCTCTGCAGATACTTTCCTATTGTGGAGCAGGAAGATGGAGCCCACAGAAAGTGACAGTTTAGCTCCCCTGAGAAGGCAGAAGATAAGAGTTCTGAGTTGTTAAGGTGAGTGAAATTCACAAGATAGGGTCCCTAGAAAAGGAGGCTATACTTGACGTTTAGCTTCCTAAACATCAAATATTGAGAGGGCCCAGATGTTTCTATGGGGTTTTCCTGCAAGTCTTTGGCTGAAGGCTGAGCTGTCCAAGTGCAAGCAAGATTCCACAGGACCCAACAGAGATCTCTTCTTACAGGCCTGAGAGATGAATGATGAATACATAGGTAAGACCATGTCAAGAAATGTTGCAGTTCCTGCTCAGGTGAGAACTCATTGACTATCTCAGGCAATAGAAATAAATGTGATAGAAGTAAGGAGCATACAATAGAGCAAGAGTTGTACCCTAGGACTAACTTTAAAACTAAAATAGGCTCACTGTAACAAAGAATAAGATCAAGTTTGACAGGAACAAAAAGTTCTACTAGTAATTTAACTACTTCCAGAACAAAACTCAATACCCTTAAAAGGAAGATAATGTAATTGATACTGTTTATAATATTTCATTTCAATATACAGCAAACAATAAATAATTACTAGACATGTGAAGAAACAGAAAAAAATGTGACCGACAGATAAGGTAAAGATCACTCAATAGAAAATAACCCCAAGATGACTCAGATGGAATTAACTGACAAGGACTTGAAAGCAGCTATTAAAATATGTTTAAGAACCTAATATTGTGGTCATAATGAATGAACAGACAAAAAATCTTAGCAGAGAAATTAATACTATAAATAATAACCTAATAGAAATTCTAGATCTGAATGGCCTTAATATCAGATTGAAGGTGGCATAATAAAGGATAAGTGAACATTAATAGAGATCAAGATAAATTGTCCAATCTGAAGAACATAGAGAAAAAAATTGAAAAATGAACAGAGTCTTAGTGATCTATGGGACAACGTCATGCAGTCTAACCTATGTACAACTGGAGTTCCAAAGAGAGTAGAAAGAATGGAGAAGAAAAATTATATAATAATTGGCTTAAATTTTTCCAAATTCGCTGAGAAATAAAAAGCTCACAGAAGTTAGAAGCTCAAGGAACACCAAGTGGAATAAATACAAACAACAATAATACCACTTAGGCCATCATAATCAAAGTGTTGATAACCACAGATAAAGAGAAAAATATCTTGAAACAGCCAAAGAAAAATAATACATTGTGTATAGAGAAAGAGCAAATAATCAATGACTTTTCCTCATAAACAACAGAAATCAGAAGACAATGAAACCCAAGAGTATAAGAGAAAACTGCCAACCTAGATTTCTATGTCCAATTAAAATATATTTCAAAAACGAAGGCAAAATAAAGATATTTTAAGATACATGGAAATAGAGAATATGTTGCTAGAAGTTCTGCACTGAAATGCTAATGGAAATGACACCAAATGAAAACGGGTTTACAGATAAGACTGAAACAGGTAAGAATGAAAAGAAAGCAGAACTGGTAAGTATGTAGGTAAGAATAAAATGTTATATGTATTTTTCTACTCATAAAATTTTTAATTCACACAAGGATTTGGAAAAAGATTATAACACTCTATTGTGGATTTTACAATGTACGTGATGTAATACATACGGAAACAATAGCACAAAGAATGGGAGTGTAAAGGGACATAGACTGCTGCAAGCTTCTTCTATTTTATGTGAAGTGGTACAATATGATTTCTAAATTGTCTGTGGTAAGTATACATATTGCTATCCCTAGAGCAAACAATAAAAAATAATACAAAGATATATAGCTATAAAGCCAATTGAGGAATTAAAATGGAATACAAAAAAAAAATAACTGAAAAGAAGGTAATAAACAAGGAAATGAGGAACAACAACAAAAGATGGGAGATGTGACAAATAACAAGACGGTAGATTTAACTCCAACTGTATTGATAAGCATATTATATGGAAAGGCAGAAATTGTCAGAAAGGAGTAAAAATAATCAAGACACAATTAACTGCATACTGTCTACAAGACATGGACTTAAGTATAAAGGGATAAATAGTGTGAATATAAGATAATGGAAAAATATAAACTATGCAAATGGTAAGCATAAAAAGGATGAAGTGGCTACATTCATATCAGTTAAAAAGACTTCAAGATAAAGAATATGACCAGAGATAAATAGGGACATTGCATAAATAATAACGGAACCAATTCATCAGGAAGATACAACAATCATGAATGTATGTGTTTAATAACAGAGTTTCAAATTACATGGAACAAAACTGACAGAACTAAAGAGAGAAATAGCCAATTCCACAATCATAGCTGTAGGTTGTTAACATCCTTGTCATAGTAATTCATGAAATAATTCTACAAAACTTAGGATATAGACAATCTAAATAATTTTATCAATCACCTCATTGTCATATATAGAATTTTATACCCAATGACTACAGAATACACTTTCTTTTCAAGAGCACAAGGAATGTTCACCAAGATAAATCACCTGATAAAGATAAAGATTGTGGGATTGGCCATTTCTCTCTTTAGTTCTGTCAGTTTTGTTTCATATAATTTGAGACTCTGTTATTAGACACATACACATTTATGATTGTTGTATATTCTTGATGAATCAATTCGTCTATTATTTATGAAATATCCCTACTTATCGCTGGTAATATTCTTATCTTCTTATCTCTGGTAATATTCTTAATACATTTCAAAAGGCTGAAACTTTATAATGTATATACTTGGATTGTAGCAGAATTAAATTAGAAATCAATAATAGTAAGGTATCTGTGAAAGTCTTCGAATATTTGGAAACTAACTACATATTTCTAAACAGCCTATGGGCCAAAGAAGAAATCACAAGAAAAATTAGAATATATTGAATAAAAGACAATGAAAAGACAATATCAAAATTTGTGAGATACAGCTAAGGCAGTGCTTAAAGGGAAATGTGTAAGTTTAAATGCACTTATTAGAAAAGAAGAAAGGTTCAAAATCAATGATCTCAGCTTCTATCTCAAGAAGCCAGAAAAAAAAATGAACAAATTAAACCCAAAGTGAAGAGAAGGAAGAAAAGAATAAAGATAAGAATTGGAATCAGTATAATGTAGATAAAAAATAGGAAAAATTATCAAAGCCAAAATGTAGTCCTTTGAAAAGATTAATAAACTTGGTAAACCTCGGCCAGGCGCGGTGGCTCACGCCTGTAATCCCAGCACTTTGGGAGGCCGAGGCAGGTGGATCACAAGGTCAGGAGATCGAGACCATCCTGGCTAACGTGGTGAAACCCCGTCTCTACTAAAAATACAAAAAATTAGCCGGGCATGGTGGCTGGTGCCTGTAGTCCCAGCTGCTCGGGAGGCTGAGGCAGGAGAATGGCGTGAACCTGGGAGGCAGAGCTTGCAGTGAGCCGAGATCGAGCCACTGCACTCCAACCTGGGCGACAAAGCGAGACTCTGTCTCAAATAAGAAAAAATAAAATAAAATAAAACAAAATAAAATTGGTAAACCTCTAGCAAGACTTCTTTAAAAAAGTGAGAGAGGGAACATCAGGACAGATCTTATAGACATTCAAAGGCTAATATAGGAATATTATCAAAGACTTTGTTGTAGTAAGTTTAACAACTCAGATGACATGGGCAAACTTCTTGAAAAACACAATTCATCAGAATTGTCACAAGGTAAGATAGAAAATATAAGTACTATGTATTAAAGAAATTGCATTATTTATCAAAAACCTTCCCCCAAGGAAGCTCTAAGTCCAAATAGTTTCTCTGGTATATTCTGTTGACCATCTCTGAAACAAATAATTTCAACGTTGCATAAATTCTTTCAGAAGATAAAGGTGAAAATACTTCTTGACTTACTTTGTGAAGCTTACCTGACCTTGCTTTCTTAAACCCTTACAAAAACCTTACAAGAAAAAAAAATTGCAGACCAACATCTCTCATGAAAAGACACCACAAATACTTAACAAAATAGTATCAGATTGAACCCAGAAGCATACAAAAAGGATAACACATCGATGACCAAGTAGGATTTATGCCATGAATTTAAATTTGCTTCACATTTGAAAAATCAATAAATGTGATTAAACCATATTAGAAGCTTTAGAAAGCAAAACGATATGATCATTTCAACAGATACATAAAGGAATGACAAAATTCAAACTCATTCATGGTTTAAAAAATTATTATGAAATAATAAACTGAATAACATACTGAAATAATAATAGACTGAATTAATCAGTCTGATAAAAGGCATCTATGAAAAACTGACAGAAAACATATTAAAGCAAACTGGAAACAAAGCAAGAATGTCCATTCTTACCACTTTTATTCAACATACTAGAGGTCCTAACCAGTGCAGTAAAACAAGAAAAAAGACGCATGTGCCTCTTATCTCACATCTGGATAAATAAAATTTATTTTGCAACCCCTTTGTGCTAATATTCTCACATACTTTTTTTATTTTATGAGAAAAGAAAATATTCTTGGAAAATGGACCAAATTTAATATCTGTAAATTGGATCTAAGTTTTATTGTAACAGAAATCTTAGTATTTAGAGGCACCTTTGGAAAGTGAAGAATCATTTTTATGAGTAATTATCTCATACAATGTTGGTTTAGAAAGTTCACACTTAATTAACTCTGTTTTACTTATTTTATGATGATGATGGTGTCAGGTTGCTGCTGCTTGCAGTGAGAATGGTAATAATCTTTATTTAATAATAGGATAGAGCCTTATGTGCCTAGAAGAGTGCCAGTATGGAATCATGACCTCACTAGAGTAAACTGGGAACCTCATCATGGAAGAAGATCTCAGAGTTGAAGCCCATATTCAATTTGATTTGATTAAATTCTTTATTTCATACCCTTTTATACCTCTGTTACAAAAGGTTGCACAGGGTGTATTTACTTGTCTATATTCCTACCAAATTGTGAGGATTTGAGAATATGGATGCTATGTTACTTGGCTTTGTATCCCAATGCCAAACACAGGACCTGACCTATGGGAATCCAGAAGAAACAAGCTCTCCAGCAGGAGCAGGAAAAAATTTCAGAAGCATTGAAACTTCAGCTGAATCATAAAAGATGAGAGAAATCTTTCCCATCAGAGAAGTGCAAAAGCACCAGTCTGAGCACAGGTTACAAGTTCAGGATCCCACAAGTGGTTTAGAGGGGTAAGAGTAACAAAGAACAGGTAGGAGTTGAGGCTGGAAAGTTAGATTGGAGCTAGATTGTGGATCCTTTGGTTCTGATTTCAACAGAATATGATTTAGACTGATTGGTTTCTATCTCCTCTACATAAAACCAAATAACCACACCCTGGTGACTGAGAAAGGACATCATTTGGGGAGGAAATCTCTGTTTGCTCCACAGACTAAAAATGAACTAGAAAAAAAAAATCAGATAACTGTAGTCAGTTGCAGTGAAACCAGGCTCCTTATACATCTACTGTGGCTGATACTTTTTATCAGAATCCTTGAACAGAATAGCCATTTCACATTCAGATTGTAATAAATGTTGCCAGCAGCCACTGTGCAATTGTAGACATGCATCTATACATCAGATCCTATCGACAAGGGCACCCAAGGCATTTTCAGTCTCACTGTAGGGAGACATTTAGCTTGCCCTGTGCACAAAGCCTTGGGACATTTCAAACAGAAGCCAGCCTCTTGATTTGTAGAGATGCTACAGTAGATTAATTCATGCGAATACCATCCAGTGGGGTCCTAACACAATCACAGCAGCTCAAAGGGCCACACAGCACATCTTTTTATATAAGCTGCTTTCTACAATAGGAATGAAAGACAGGGAAGCCTGCAAACTCAGAACCAAAGCTTTCCTTTCTGTACATTTTTAATACCAGAAATGACTCCAGCAGGAGCTCCCTGCAATCCTTTCAAATTTGGGGCTGGGGTGGAAAAGGATTAGAGAGAGAGTGAAGCACCACAGCAGATAAATATTGCTGCCCAGATAATTTCCCTTGTCCTTCCCTTCTATTTTCCTTTCCAAAAACCTCCTTTCATCATTCAGGTCAGGTCTGAAAATTCCTTTCTCTCTGATAGATGTTTGGCATCCGTGCATGTGTTTGCCCTTCATCTTTCTTCTCTTGGACGTCTTTACCATGATTTCCTATAAGAGTTGCTTTCAACTCCCTCATGTCCACTTCAGTGTAGGCTCTCCAATGGCAAAGATGTTGCCTATCTCATTCACTGTCATATCTGAGTGCCTGGTACAGCCTGGCACACAGTAGAGTCTCAATAAAAATTTACAAACAACTGGGTGAGCAGCCAGAGTTATTTCTGAGATTCTCTTCCAAGTTGTCTCCAGCCACTGAATGGAAACAGTGAAGACAGACTCATTTGCAAAATCCAACTGAAGGTTGTGGATTAAGAAAAAGGGCCTGTAGTCCCAGCTACTTGGGAGGCTGAGGCAGGAGAATCGCTTTAACCCGGGAGCCGGAGGTTGCAGTGAGCTGAGATTACGCCACTGCACTCCAGCCTGGGCGACAAAGCAAGACTCCGTCTCAAAAAAAAAAAAAAAGAAAAATGAAAAAGAAAAAAGAAAAAGGGCTCAGCACCTCCCTTCCTCTTTTCATTCTTACAATGTCCCTGTCCTCACAAGCCAATTTCTTTTGCTGCTTCGTCTCCCCTTAGACTCAGGTACTTCTACAGATGGATCACTGGTTTTCTCCCAGAGAAAAATGCCCCTTTATGAATCAGAGCTTTGTCTCACACAGCGTTTGGCAGGAGGACTGCTCTGAATTAGAGCAGCTGCTGCTCATGGTGGTGTGGTCCAAGTATACACAAGTTTATTTAAGAATCTTCCATCCTTAGATAAAGTAGCTTTAAAATAGCAATCATATTATTTTATAATGCAAAACTGCCTTCAATCTTCCATATTTCCTATTGCATTGAAATTCTAAACTACTTCCCTGCCTCTCCGCCCTAGCCACAGTCCTGCTACACTAACCTTCTTCCACTGTCATTTCCTTACCAGGATCTTCTTTACCCTGGGCCTTTGCAAATGATGTTCCCTCTGCCTAGACTGCTCTTTCACCAATATCTGCCTGTTTACCTTCTATTCTCTCAGGTTGCACCTTAAATGTTGCTTTGTCAGAGCCCTTCTCAATCTAAAGTTTATCCATTGATGTCTGTCTCAGCACTCTTTCATGTGTAGCACTTTTCACAAATTGTAATTTATATATTTATTTTTTATTTACCAGTTTTCCCTTCTAAATAGAAAATTCTTTAAGGAGAGGGACTTTGTTTTTATTACCATTGCATCCTAATCACTTAGCACAGTTACTGGCATGCAGAAGGTTCTTTTTTTTTTTTTTCACTTTAAGTTCTGGGATACATGTGCTGAACATGCAGGTTTGTTACATAGGTATACATGTGCTGAAGGTTCTTAACCTATATATATATATGTATATATATACACATTATATATATACACACACACATATATATACATATAAAGTCACTCATCATTTGCTCTTTCTCTATATATAATGTGTTATTTTTCTTTGGCTGCTTTCAATAATAATGTGTATATATATACATGTATATGTACGTGTGTGTATATATATATATATATATAAAACAGAGTCTCACTCTGTTTCCCAGTCTGGAGTGCAGTGGCGTAATCTCAGTTCACTGCAACCTCCACCTCCTATGTTCAAGCAATTCTCCTGCCTCAGCCTCCCAAGGAGCTGAGACTACAGTGCATGCCACCACAACTGGCTAATTTTTGTATTTTTGGTAGGGATGGGGTTTCACCATATTGGCCAAGCTGGTCTCGAAAAGTCCTAACCTGAGGTGATCTGCCTGCCTCAGCCTCCCAAAGTGCTGAGATTACAGGTTTCAGCCACCATGTCCAGCCACAGCCCAATATTTTAAAATAAAAAATAAGAACAAAATATATCCTACCTAGCTATCTCCCACCTACTTGTTAAAGCAGAAATGACCTCTATAATATCATGGACAAATAAATAAAGAATCCACTATACTTTTTGACAATTGTAGGATTAGGCTGCTCTGCATATTATAAAGTTGTCTTTATATCAAGTCCACAATCCCCTTCCTCTAAAGTTAACTGACTGGTTCTAGTTTTACAATATGGAGACATGTAGAATACATCTACTTTTGTTCTTTTATTTTCTTAATTTTTTTTTTTACTTTTAATTTTTGTGGGTATGTAGTAGTTGTATATATTTATTGGGTACATATGATGTTTTGACAGAGGCATGCAATGTGAAATAAGCACATCATGAATAATGGCATATTCATCCCCTCAAGCATTTGTCCATTGAGTTGCAAACAATTTAGTTATACTCAAGTTTTTTAAAAATGTACAGCTACGTTATTATTTACTATAGTCACCCTGATGTGCTATCAAATAGTAGGCCTTATTCATTCTTTCTGTTTTTGTACCAGTTAACCATCCCACCCTCCCCCTAAGCCCCCCACCACCCTTCCCAGCCTCTGGTAACCATCCTTCTACTCTCTATGTCCATAGGTTCAACTGTTTTGCTTTTTAGATCCCACAAATAAGTAAGAACATAAGATGTTTTTCTTTCTGTGCCTGGCTTATTTCACTTAACACAATGATCTCCAGTTCCATCCATGTTGTTGCTAATGACTGGATCTCATTCTTTTTTTTTATTGAATAGTACTCCATTGTATATATGTACCACATTTTCTTTATCCATTCATCTGTTGATGGGCACTTAGGTTGCTTCCAAATCTTAGCTATTGTGAACAGTGCTGCTGCAAACATGAGAGTGCAGATACCTCTTTCTTTTTTTTTTTTTTTTTTTTTTTTTGAGACAGAGTCTCGCTCTTTCACCCAGGCCAGACTGCAGTGGTGCTATCTCGGCTCACTGAAAGTTACGCCTCCCAGGTTCATGCCATTCTCCTGCCTCAGCCTTCCGAGTAGCTGGAAATACAGGTGCCCGCCACCGCGCCTGGCTAATTTTTTGTATTTTTAGTAGAGACGGGGTTTTACCGTGTTAGCCAAGATGGTCTCGATCTCCTGACCTCATGATCTGCCTGCCTCGGCCTCCCAAAGTGCTGGGATTACAGGCGTGAGCCACCGCGCCCGGCTGCAGATACCTCTTTCATATACTGATTTCCTCTCTTTTGGGTACATACCCAGCAGTGGGATTGGTGGATCACACGGTAGCTCAATTTTTAGTTTTTTGAGGAACCTCCAAACTGTTTTCCCTGGTGGTTGTACTAATTTACATCCTCACCAACAGTGTATGAAAGCTCCGTTTTCTTCACACCCTCGTCAGCATTCATTATTGCCTGTCTTTTGGCTAAAAGCCATTTTAACTGGGGTGAAATAATATCTCATTGTAGTTTTGATTTGCATTTCTCTGATGATCAATGCATCAGATTTTCAAGTACTAAATGTTTAAGCTGCCATGACAGTCCACAAATACTGCACTCACCCTATGGATGAAGGCCTATCCCAACTATAATAAGAAAATTTAGCCCAAGTAATAAATTTGTATTTTAAAATGGCGATAATGATTCTTAAGTGATAAATATCTTCAGGATCAAGGGCCATGTTGAATTTGAAGCATTTTGTAAACCATCAAGTGTGATGCAAAGGTAAACTATTATTATTTGTTATCATAAGCGAAGATCAGTACAGAAGGAAAGATATGACCAATGTAGAAATAATCATTACAAGAGGCAGAATATAATGGGAGATAATAAAAATACAAAGAAGAGTTTGAAGACAGTGACATATCGGCTGGCAACTTACTTTCTGTGATGTCAGTTTCCACATTTGTCAAAGGACTCATAAATTATTACCCTTCTCAGCTCTAGGATTCGTAAGGCTCAATTGAGAAAGTGCATGCGAAAACATGTGGGAAATGGAAACGCTATTCAAACATATGATAAGGTGACAGTGGAGATGATGGCAATGATAATTTGGGATAAATTTTAAAGTAAGTCCCTGATTTTGACAGGTAGTGCTAGATGAGGGGAGAGGAGGAAAGGGGCCAGGGCACAAAGGCTGAAAGACATCAGCAATGCCAGGGAACCTGAGCAGGAGAGTAAGTACAGGAAAATGGTGGGAGCTAGAGCTGCAGTTACAGTAAAGGGATTTGTCAGTCAGCTTGGGTCTTCTGCAGAGGAATTTCTCTTTTTAGTAGGGTAGAGGCATGTTCCCTCCAACTCAGACCTCAAGCAGTACTTTGGAAGACCTGCTTGTAGAAAGATACTAAGAATGGCAAGGGAGAGTGGAAAGGGAGAGGGAGAGACTGAGTCTCGCCATTAGGCGAGAAGAATGGATGGTGCAAGGTCCCTGAGGTTGCCAGAGAAGGTCAGGATCTAGAGCACAGGTGAAGATAAGCAAGAGTTACATGCCTTCCCTCAGACACAGGAAGGACAGTGCTCTCATCAGTGTCTCGGAATAAATCACCTCTTGAGGACGAGGCACTGGGGTGGATCTGGGGCCATGCATGAGAAAGGTGAGAAAGATGTGGACCAGTCATTGAGGGGACGTACTAGGCAGTCAGTGAGAGGCATGAAAGCCTTGCCACACAACCCTGACAGTCTAGGTGGGACCAGGGAGCAGGATTTGCGGTGGAGACAATTCACAGGTTTCACAGCTTCCTGTCATCTCAAAGCCTGGATGCGGGAATGAAGAAAATGGACTGTAGACGAGCCAAGGTTGAGGGCTTCTGGCTCTTTCCATTTGTTCTCATGGGCTTCCCAGACACCTCTCCATCCTGAATGTATTAGTTTCCTATAACAAAGTACCACCAACTGGATGGTTTGAAACAATATACATTTATTGTCTCACAGTTCTGAAGGCTAAACATTTGAAACAATGGTGTCAGCAGGGCCATCCTGTCTCTGAAGGCCCCAGAAGAGGATGCTTCCTTGCTTCTTCCTAGCTTCTGGTGGCTCCTGGCAATCCTTGGTGTTCCCTGTCTTGTAGATGCCTCACTCCAGTCTTTGTCTCTGTTCTCACATGGCCTTCTCCCCTGTCTGTGTTCCTTTTCCTTTTCTTACAAGGATGCTAGTCATATTGGATTTAGGGCCCACTTTACTCTGGTATGACCTCATCTTAACTTACTACATTTGCAAAGACCCTATTTCTAAATAAAATTGTATTCTGAGGTTCTGGGTGGACTTGAACTTTTGGGGTCCACGATTCAACTAAATACATTGGTCTTTGTGTCCACTGGAGACTTCAGCTTGGGGACAGTCTTGAGATATAGTACTGTCATGCCTCACTTAACAACTGGGATACATTCTGAGAAATTTGTCATTAGGAAGTTTCATCACTGTGAAAACATCATAGAGTGTACTTACCCAGACCTAAGTGGTATAGCCTACTACACACCTAGGCTGTATGGTATAGCCTATTGCTCCTAGGTTACAAACCTGTACAACAGGTTACTGTACTGGAAACTGTAGGCAATTGGAACACAATGGTAAGTATGTGTGTATCTAAACATATCTAGACCTAGAAAAGGCACAGCAAAAATATGGTATTATAATCTTAAAGGACTACTGTCACATATGCAATCCACTGTTAACCAAAACATCATTATGCAGCGCATGATTGTATCTAGAACTGGCCTGACCAGTACACGCAGGAGAAAGCATATGGCATTTGCCAAGTGTATTAGAGCTGAGAAATCATCCTACTTCTTCCTTTTATCTTCTTTTATTTATAAAGTCATTTGTATTCCAGAAGATGCTATTATTTAGCCATTCTTACCTCAATGTTGATCCCTTAACACAGAGAAAATGATCCTGCTAAAGGGAAAGAGAGATTAAAAATGAGGTGAATCACTAAATTGTTAACACTATAACCACAGGCTAAATCAACATGCACAGATAGAGCCAGGATTGCTTAAAATTGGTTCAGAGAGCCACTTCTGTGCTGAAGGAAGCTACAAGTTTTAAAGTATTTCATTAGGTCACATGCTTATCTTGTTCAATTATAGCAAGTTCAAGGTCAAATCAGAACCAGCAGCCTAACCTGACAGTAGCCTAGGGGACATTTTTTTTTCCTGATGTTCCCAGGTGTTCACGGAATTTTCTTCTCTGAAGATTTGAGAATAAGTCTCATGAACTCCCAGCACCAGGACTAACTCAAACCATGCCCTCCCTACATGGCATTCATAACCCAGAAAGCTAGATCCCTTTTACCTTCTTCCCCAAGAAAATTTGTAAACTAAAGCCCCAGGTTATTGGATACTTAGATGGGCCTGCAAGGTTGTGTACAGAGGTAACTGAGGAGTCTTGGGTGGAAGAAATAATTTGAGCAGGAAGAGCCTCACCCTCTGCGGACCACCTGACATCTTACAGTGCTGGGCTTCAGCACTGTTGACATCTGAGGATCATCTAGGATTTTAGAGTTGAAAGGGACATTAGGATAGTTTGGTTCAAGCTTCTCATTTGCAGGTAAGGAAATGGATAGGGGAAGTAACTTGATCAAGGACACACTAAGGGCTTTTGGCTGAGCTGGGAATAGACTGAGATCTCTTATTCAGCCTAGTCATATTTTCACTACCTGCAACAGTATTCAAAATAAAACTGTAGCTGCAAGAAGGTGAACCCAGCTCTCACATACACCTGCTCTGATTTAATTGGCATTGTCCAATTTCTGCCCTGAAAATTCAGGTTCGGAAATGCAATGGCTGAAATTGTTGGAGGTTGGTTTCAAAAGCACTCTCTAACCATCTCTCCTCCCTGCCCCCATCCCTGCCCTCCTCTGGCAATTCCATTAAAAATAGCTTTGACTTTAAATTGGCCTAGAGATCATCATCGACTCTGCAATTATATAACCCTTCAACTAAACGCATTATCATACCAAGCAAGACCCAAATGAGTTTACAGCATGACTGTGCTACCTGAGAGGAAAGCCAGACCCCTGCTGGGAGTCTGCAGAGGCTCTGAGGAGACTCAAATGTGCAGGTTCCTCCTCTCCTGAGCGGGTGTGTGGGTGGGAGAGAGCGCGTGCTCCACAGAGTCGGAGCGGTGGTGTTTCCTTGTCTCTTCCTCTCCCGTGACCAGGCAGGGCAGATACACAAGGGACTTTGCAGAGCCAGGTGGGGCTGACAGACGAGTGTCCGGCTCCCTAATCAGGAGACACGACCAATAATTCCCTACACAGAGATAATTGGAAGGATATAGAATCCTAGATTCTGAAAATGGTAGTGCTCTAAGGATACTTAAAGATCAATTTGTCTGTAGATCTTTACCCTTCTTTCCTAAGATGAAGGAGCTGAGGCCCCACGAGAGGAGAGAATTCCAGGAAGCACTTGGGAAGATGGCGGCTGAGTCAGGACTAGACCCCAGCGCAGCGCACTTGGCACTCGATGTGCTTTCCCTGCCCGAGCTTTGGATTCAGTCATCTTTTCTTCCCCACTTCTCTTCCCTCAGAATTTGAGGAAGGAGCCCCCTTCTTCTGATAAAGTGCTAAAGAAATTACCTTTTGCAAAGATGATTCCGGAGAGCAGCCTTTTCATTACTGGCTACTTGTGCAAAACAGTGTAATGGTTAAAAGCCCAAATTCTTTGCTTTGACTCCCATTGCCTCGGTTTTCCCTTCTGGAATAATGGCTCTAACTTTACAAAGTTATTATAAAGAATAAATGGAAAATTCATAGGAAGTACTTAGCACAATTCCTAGCACACAGTAAGGCCTGACACATATCAGGTGCTCTTATTACTCCTCAGCCTGTGCCTGAGGAGAGGGACGATGGGAAGCACAGTAGGAGCAGGTGGAGGCTGTCCTAAGGGAGCCTGAAAAGTGGGTGGCACAAATTAAGAAGTAAGTGTGCCTCACTAGCTGAGCACACAGCCAGTGGCCACATGGGCTGGGGTATTTATGCTGGACTTTTCACTGAGCAATTCTGTCAACTGTGACCTGGGGCAAGTTACCAAATCTTTCTAGGCCTCAGAGCTGCAAAATGAAAGGGTCCAACCAGATGATGTCTGAGGCACATTCCAGCTTAAACACCTGTAGATTTCTAGAAAAATCTTCCTTCTCATGTGAGAAGGGAAGAAGCGGAGGTCCTATGCCACCTGAAAAAGTATCTCCCAGACCGTCCCTCCCTCCACTCATTTAACAAAGCCTTTGTCAGACGCCTTCCAATGCCAGGCCCAAGTTTCTCAAAGGAATGCCTAGGCTTTTATTTTGCAACAGGAGATGATGAGAAGAAAGAGAATTGGCACCCCCCTCCCCCACAAAGGGAGGTAGTGCTGAAAGCTCAGAGAGGGGGTCATAGACTTTGAACTTGGATGTAGCCTGGGCCGGGGTGGCTGGGGAAATAATAAATATGGCGCTTGGGTCTTCCTGACTCTCCTCCCCGCTCCCAAAAATACTAATAATTGTCTGAGAGGCCAGGGGTGGAACCAGATACTACACATATTTGGTGCATACTAACTAAATGGCGAGCATTGAGAACACTGTGTGTGTGTGTGTGTGTGTGTGTGTGTGTGTGTATGTGTGTGCACGTTTGTGTGCAGGGTGGAACGGGAAGGATCTGTGGAGCCCAGCAGGAAGCACAGTTTGAGAACTTTGGCTCTAAGGAACATGGTGCTTCCAGATGCAGTGAGAGCTGGCTAACAGCCATGTTGTGTATCATCTCCCCTGTCAAAGCAGGCCCAGGCCTTTAAGGTGCCAGGCACATCACCCACTTCATCATTGGTTCTCAGGTACAACAGTATGTCATTAATATACCGGCTGGAAGGTCAGAGGAAGCAGTGGTATGCCTTCATGTGTGGCTCTCGAACAGGTAATTCCCAGTAAGTTTTCCTCCTCTCACAAAAGGGGAGCTCCAGCCACCCTTTCTGACAGGGCTGCTGCTTCTCCATTTGAAAGGAAGCTGGCACTTGCACAGAAGGTTTAAAGGGGCACAGCCGAACCTCTGCCTTTAAAAACAAATCATTGAGAAAGAAAATGATGCAGATTGGATTCTCCGCATGGAATTTTTAGCAATGGTACTGCTATATCACAAGCATACCAATAGATAAATTTTATCCAAGCAGAATTATCAACAACATCTGAGTGTGATTCTCAGACTTTTCAACATGAATAAGCCAATCTGGTTTGGTGGCTTTTCCTAGCAGAAAACTGAGATGTCTTACCACATAGCCTCAGACACATAGCTTGATTTTTTTAAAAATTACCTGTGTTCTCCAGGGGATCCCTGCCTGGGATTCAGCCTACTTCCAGTTCTAATGGATACTAAGGTGTGCAGCCCAGATTCCCCTTTGGGACTATACCTTCTTCTTCTAGCTGCTGAGAGTCTTGGTGCCCAATGTGGCTGCTGAGTGCCCCTCTTAGGATGCCCTGTGTCCAAAGAGCTCTCTCACTTAAGGTCATGCCCTCATGGGGTGGAGTGGGAAGCCCACATCCAGTGACTAGCATGATTCCTTTCCCCACTTGGAGACATTTCTGAAGGGTCATCTGTGCTTAGAGCTCCTCATGGCCCAGGATCCACTGAGGTCTTTGTGTGACTGGCATTGTGTTCCACCTTCTGTGCCCAGTTGGGCTTCTTTCACTTCCTCCACAGGTATGGAGCCTTAGGGCTTAGTTTGAGCATTAAACCTCCTTCATGCAAATCTTCATCTGAGAATATGATTTCTGGGAAACCTGACCTGCAACACGAGTTATCAACTTCTTTAGGTTGCTCTTAACTACACAAAAACTAGACCTGTGAGTATGAATTAATCATGCTTTTAATTTTTTTTCTGTATTTTCTGATGCTTTGACATCTGGGGCATTGCTGTCTCTAGAGAGACTACTTCTCCTGGGACCAGCCAATTTCTAGTGATAGTAGAGGACTCACCCTGCACGTGCACCTTTCATATACAGATCAACCAATCCAAAACCTACACCTCCAACCACCTCCTTTAGGGAGCTCTCACACTCCAGACCACTATCCAGCTGCCCTAATTACCCCTGGTGCCAGACAGTAGAGGCAGTCTCTACACCCTACAGCTCAATCAAGTCATTCAAACCCGATAATCCTAAACCTGCTTACTCTGCCCCTCCCATTCTTTGCCACTGAATCCACAGTAGAGCCTCTTGTCCATGTTTTCCTCTTGCTCCTTCTGCCTTGCGCCTGACCCTGGTGCTTCCCCATTGGCCTGCATGGAGGCCATGCTTCCTATTTACAGGGATCTGTGAGTATAAATACTTCTTCCTTCATGACTGTCATCTCCATGTCTGTGCATCTTACCACACCTGATTAAAATAAATTCCAGGTAAATTTTAAAACAAGGTATTAAAAAGAAGCTTCTCCAAACCAACAAGACATCTGAATCCCTTTATGTATCCTGCTCTTTAAGATGACAGAACCATGGGAAAAATGCCAGTGTTACTTATTACCCAACAAGCTGCCTGACGCTCTCTGGGCCAGGCTACAAAGGGCAGATTCCAAATGCTCCTGCTTTATACCCTGTTTCCATCCACCCTCTGACACCTTGCGTTCTTTTCTTATTCTGGAAGAAAACGTGAACAAGAACCCTTTACACCAGAGGAACCTACCCAAATAAGCTCTCAGGTCTTCTGAAGCTGCTCTTGCATCTTCTCTGCCTAGAGCTCAGCCTTTTCAGCTCTGGCCATGTTGTAAGGTCTAAGCTCAAGTCTCTATTTATTCTCCCTTGTTTCTGTGGGGTCAATCTGATTCTAGGGGCATAATTCATTCCCAAGAAAGAATGCCTTTGCTAGTGGCAAATATTAATAGATCTCCACATAAAATGAGAAATCCTTTTGGTGATGCTCTTCTTCTGTTTCTTAACCATCTGTCCAACATATCACAATATAAAGCCTCAAAAGACATTCCAAGAGGCCTTTGAAGCATCTCCTGTTTCCAAGTTTGGGAATCTCAAGAGGAACCTGAAATGGAGTTTGGGATGTTCTGTGTGGAGGCATCAGGGGGACATAGGTAGAAAGAACACAAGCAGTTGTACACACACACACAAACACACACAATTGGTTTTCTAGGACACAGTGAAATATAGCTTTGCTGTATAAAGTCATTCAAGGATTGTTCTTTCATGAAATACTTGGGTCTAGCATGAGTTTGGAGCTCATACTGCTCATCTGAAACCTCTAAGGAGAAGTAATGCTGGGGAATTCATACACCTCGAGCCCCTCAAGAGCATGGCAGTGCAAGGACCCCACAGGACACTGCTCAGTAAAGTCCTACAGCTTTACTCTTTCATTTAAGTGCAAGTAGTTTTTTGAGGGGGATTGGGGGAATGGTGTGTTTCCATGTGACATCTTTAGGTTTTATGAAACCAGCATTTGGGGCAAAGAAGCACTCTTTTCCCCCCACCCTGGTGGCAAAAGTACTATACAAAATAAAGTCCTATTTCCAAGGCTACCGCTAGTCAATCTGAGGCCTTGGTGGGAAAACACTCTCTTTTTACTATATGTTGATTTCTTTGTTGGGTAAATGGAAATACTTTGCCCTGCTTTCTCCTACATGGACACTGTGAGGCTTCCATTTATGTGGTGTGCTAAGAAACCTTTGAAAGGGCTTTGCTATGGTCAAGCATCACTGGGGACCCCACCCACCTGATATGCTTACCCTGAGAATCATATGATGTCCCAGCTGGCAGGTGACATCAGATTTTATCCAGTTAAACATCCTCACTTTGCAGAGAATGAAACCAAGATCCAGAGGGAGGAAAGTAATTGCTGGAGACTACACAGGCTACTTAGTGGCTGATGCATTTTCTCAGATCAGAAGCTCAAAGCAGTAGAATGCAGCAATCATGAGCCTGAGCTCTGGAGAGAACAGCCTGAATTTTGGATTTGCTACCAACCACTTATGCAACTTTGCATTAGTTAAGTTATATCTCTACCATCAACTTTTTCATCTATACGTTAAAGAGGACAATAACCTCATAGGATTGTTGTGAAGATTAAATGAAATAATTCTTGGCACATTGCCTGACAAATAACGTTCTGTATAATTGCTAGTTACATGTGTTGGAGACCAATAACGATTCAGGCTCCCCTTCCAAGTGCAAAGTTGTTGCTGACCAGATAGGGGCTACATTTCCCAGATGCCTTTGCATCTAGGTTGGGCCACATGACTGAATGATGACTAGGGGAGTGTATGTAGAAGTGGTGTGTGTCAATGCTAGGCTAGGTGGTTAACTGACAAGTGCCAAACCTCCCCCCTCTATTGGTTGGATTATGCCAGAGCAACTCTGCCATCCCTGAATGGTGGAGCCAATACGATGGAAGCTGCCTGCATCCCCATCCCCAAGTTGTGGCTTAGATAACTGCCTGACCAGGACATTCAACTTTATATGAGTAAGAAATAAACTTTCACTGAGTAAGCCAATGAGATTTGGAAGTTATTTCTGCAGCTAGCGTGAAATACCATGACTAATATACCATGGCTATTATTGGTAAAATAGGACATATGTTAAGAAAACAGAAAGGGAAATTGGAGTGTTTAGTCAGTGTGACTCTTGGTTACAACTTCTGAGTTTGAAGGTGGGAAAGGTGTGCATTTGCCCATCCTACTTACACTAATCATCATACACAACCACTTACATTCTGCTAATAAGCAGCAGAGGGCAAAGAGGCAGAGTCTAGGCTAGCTGTGTCCTCCCTAGGGGCTCACATAGCTTTTCTGATGAGTAGTAAGAGGCTTCTAATTATTTCGGCTCTAGCAGTACATGCCTGTAAAATCCCTCGCAAGAATGGTAAAAGAATTAGAAATGCTGCAGGAAGTGTAGCAGCCAGGGGGTTGAGACAGCCGGGTCCTGTCCTCCCTCTGCCTTTAGCTTGCTGTGTGCCTTTGGCCAAGCCACACAATGTCTTGAGCCTTAGCTTCCTTATCTGTAAAATGAGGGACTAAAGAATCTTAAAGGATACTTCAGCTCTAATGATTTGAAAATTTTACTAGTTCGTTCATTCAACAAACATTTATTAAACACCGTGCTGGGTACTGGAGGCACAGTGATCTTTAAGATATGATTTCTGGCCCCACGATGGTCATAGTCTAGAGAGGAGTCAGGCATGACGGAGGGAGTTTTAGTGCAGTTTTCTCTGTCTATACGGCCATTTCTAGGCATCTTCCTCTATTTTAACTTGATGTAAAATAGTGGAAGGAGGGGATAAGGACTACTTCACAAAGCCAAGTACTCTAAGAAAGGTGCTTATGCTGGAACGGCCCAGAATCTGCAACATGACAACAATTCAGAAATGTCTTTTTTTCCCCATATCAGTTCAAAAAATACTGCATTTTAGACCCCCCCCAAAATGAGCCTATGGTCTCATAACCCCTCATTTTACAAGAGAGATTAAACAGCTCATCTGATTCCCCTTCCTTGAAGAGATCAGGTCCAGGCTCCCTACGCCAGTCATTCTGAGTCATGGCCTTGGAAAGGAAGGGGTATTTGAAGAAGCATCTCCACTCTATGCCCCATGGAGGAGCCAGGTGATTGTTTCTCACAGCAGTGCCACCCAAATTCCTTGCTTCAAAAACCTCTGGATTTCTTTTGTGGACACTATTGAACTGGGAGACTAGATGCTCCTGCTACAGATTCTGATATGTCTTGCTCTCGTCAAGTCTAACGTCCACAGCTTTGACATGTGGTTGCTGAGAAACCACTGGGCCAGTTGCCTCCTTAAACCACTTCAGCCTCAGTTTCTGTATATTTAGCCTTTTTCAATTAGGCATAAAAAAATCCATAAATGCAAAACTAGTCATGTAGTCAAATAAGGGTAGGGGGTTTGGAGTGTGGATTGTGGGGAAGAACCAGTGGTTACCTTCTGGTTGAAAGGATTCAATCTTCTAAGGAAAACAAAAAGCCCCTTACTCGGTTGCCATGGGAACAACTCTGCAATGCTAAGGATGTTCTGCAGGAGGCTGCCTGGGAGCCCAGCTGGGGAGAGGGATTTCTTTTCAATGAGGCTTTCTTTTCAAAAATTTTACATTTTTTTTTCAATTTGTGAAAAAAACAAACAAACAATTCTGTCAGCTCCTTTGATTCCTGCAGGGGCTGGGAATGGTCCCACAGCCTCTGGTCTTAGGACATCCTTTTTTCATAGCTCAGCTGGCAAGAAAAAGGGCCATGGCCCAATATTCACTCCAAATGATTATGGAGTGGCTCCATATTTAAGAATTCAGACTCACTTAGGAGGCGAGCTTCCTCATCTCCACTGCCACAGCTCTATCCCTGTCCCACCAGGATGAGATGACTGGACACCCCTGTGTGAAGAAGCCAGGATAGAGCCAAAAGAAGAGCTATTTCAGAGAAAACTGGGGGACGAGGGGCGGTATGTGATTGGAGAAGGTGGCATCTTTTCTGTGTGACCTTAGAATCGTTTATTGCTCCCACTCCCACACCATACATTCACACAAAGATGGACAATGATTATTGGCTCCTGACCCATTTTTTCTTTTGCTCTTTTTCACAGAAGACTCATTTCTCAGCCCACTCGCAGATGTTTCTGACTCAGACACACCCATGGGGTCCTTGTCCCCCAACCACCCCTGTAGAAGAACTCCATCTTTACTGGTTCAAGGACAATGGGGAGGGCTCTGATGAGCTCTGATGTCAGACAGACTTGGCCTGGCCTGCTCTGCCACTTCCTGGCTCTGTGACCAGGATCAGGACACTAAAACTCTATGACTCAGTTTCCTCCTCTGTACGATGGGTAGTAATAAACCCTACCTCCTAGGATTGCTGGGCATATCTTGTGATATATTGCATGGATGGCGCTTAGCCAAGGGCCTGGACCATAACGGGTATTTAATAAATGTAAACTAAGCAAAAACAAACAAACAACAACAACAAACAAACAAACAAAAAAACGTTCAGAGTAGATGACCTTCAAAATTTTCCTGCTCATAAGAACCTGTGATTTCTGCTCTCACTTGTCTATAAAAAATATTTTATGGGCCTGGCACGGTGGCTCACACCTGTAATTCCAGCACTTTGGGAGGCTGAGGCAGGAGGATTGCTTGAGGCCAGGAGTTGAAGACCAGCCTGGCCAACATAATGAAACCCTGTCTCTACTAAAAATACAAAAATTAGCTGGGTGCGGTGGCGGGCGCCTGTAGTCCCAGCTACTTGGGAGGCTGAGGCAGGAGAATGGCGTGAACCCAGGAGGCGGAGCTTGCAGTGAGCCAAGATCATGCCACTGCACTCCAGCCTGGGGCGACACAGCAAGACTCCATCTCCAAAAAAAAAAAAAAAAAAAAAATTGGCAGGGCATGGTGGCGGTTGCCTGTAATCCCAGCTACTCAGGAGGCTGAGGCAGGAGAATTGCTTGAACCCGGGAGGTGGAGGTTGCAGTGAGCTGAGATCACGCCATTGCACTCCACCCTGGGTGACAGAGCGAGACTCTGTCTCAAAAAAAAAAAATTTATAAATACTCTCCATGGTTAGAATTATTCCACCTTTTAAAATAAAGTCTTATCACTCTCTCCTTTTCTCATTTTCCCTTAAAAGTAATTGTTTATATTAAAAACAAAGAGCATGGAATAAAGAAATATAATGTTAATGATGTGTTTGGTGGTAGTAGACTATGTGAGGTGGCTTTTTTTATTTTCCTGTCTATTTTTTTTTTTTTCTGAGATGGAGTTTCACTCTTGTCGCCCAGGCTGGAGTGCAATGGTGCAATCTTGGCTCACTGCAACCTCCACCTCCTGGGTTCAAGCAATTCTCCGGCCTCAGCCTCCCGAGTAGCTAGGATTACAGGCACCTGTCACCACACCCGGCTAATTTTTCTATTTTCAGTAGAGACAGGGTTTCACCACGTTGGCCAGGCTGGTCTTGAACTCCCGACCTCAGGTAATCCACCCGCCTCAGTCTCCCAAAGTGCTGGGATTACAGGCGTGAGCCACCGTGCCCAGCCCAGCTTTTTTTCTTTTATAATGGAAATAAGATAAAATATTTTACAAAGTAGTGTTATCCAACATTCTGTCTACATGACCTCCATTTTTTCTGACATCTATTTAAGAGGACTTAACCATCCTCAAATGTTAATTATCTTTTCTACAGAGAACATTTTCAAGTTTCCATTTCCAGGTCTGGCCTCCCTCCCAGGCTCCGGTCCCCCAGGGTCAGCAGACATCCATGTGGATGAGTCAGAAGAATCCATAATTATCCAATTGTACACAGTGTATTACAGTTTACAAAGCTCTGCCACACTTGTCTTACTTAATCCCCCAAATAGCCCTGTGATAAGACTATGGATATAAACACCCCCATTTTACAGAAGAGACCACTGAGACAAATCAAAAGCCTTGCCTACTCGATTTCCATTTCAGTCAGTAGAAAAATAGTAGAACTAGGAATCTGACCTCAGAGATGCTGAAGCCACTTCAGAACAGGTTTCTCCCAGGGTGAAATGTCTGGACACCACAAGTTGATAATGTCTGCTCTAAATCCAGTGACCACCCCTTGCCTCTCTCTTCAGTAATATCATCACCACCTCTTCCCTCACTCAGTCGCCAAACATGGTAGTCATCTGACATCTTTCACTGTCTTCTCCACTGCTTTACTCAATCAGCCCTTCTCCTTCACTGCTTCTCACATTGTCCCTTTCCCTCCATTCCCACTATGGCCTCTCATGTTCAAGCCCTTGCTTCTCATATCCTGATGATTCATTTATGAAGCTGGCCTCATTCTACCTGCAATCACTTTGTCCTTTACGGTAACCAGGTTAATCTCATCTATAGTCTTTTGTGCAAAAACTTCAATAGTTCTTGATTGCCTATGCAATGAAGTTCAAAATCAATGCCTGACAGGCAAGACCCTCTGCCATCTCCTGTAGGCCTGTCTTTCTTGCTTTAACTCTTATTATTGCTCTGTTCAGTCATTCAACTCCAGACATACATGTATAATCTTTCCAAAACCAGTAAATAGTGTTCAAGAGATCTGGTGCCAAAAGAGCAAAAGGTGATACTTGCCTAGAGCCGTGGGTTGAAAAGGTTTATAAGACTATATTTGGGTCAGAGAAAAAGGGTGCCAAAATGAATTAGCAACATCTGCAACTGTCAAAAGGAAGAGGGATGAGGGTTGGAAGAAGGTGGCATCCTTTCTTATTCGTTATGTCTTTTATATTAGTTTGAAACCTAGGCCATGACCTCGTCTTTTTCCCCAGTCTAATTTCCCTTCAGCCACTTAACATAACACAGTGCCTTGCACACAGGAGATACTCAATAAATATTTTTAAATGGGTTCATAAATTTTTCTAAACTCATTTTGAGTTAAAATAAAGCTGGGGACCCATAGGACAGGAGCAGTAGTTCTCAGCCCTAAGGAGCTTTTATTTATTTATTTTTATTTGTATAAATTTAAGGGGTGTAAGGGCAATTTTGTTACATGGCCATATTGCATAGTGGTAAAGTGTGGGCTTTTAGTGTATTCATCACCCAAATAATGTACGTTGTACTCATTAAGTAATTTTTCATCATTGACCCTCTCCCATTCCCCCCACCCTTCCGAGTCTCCAATGTCTATTATTCCACACTCTGTGCCCATGCATATGCATTATTTAGCTCCCAATTGTAAGTGAGAACATGTGGAATTTGCCTTTCTGTTTCTGAGTTGCTTCACTTAAGAGAATGGCTTCCAGTTCCTTCCATATTGCTGCAAAAGACAGACTTTGTTCTTTTTTACGAATGAATAGTATTCCATTGTGTGTGTATATATACACATTTTCTTTATCCAGTCATCCATGGATGGACAGTTAGGTTGATTCCATATTTTTGCTACTGTGGATAGTGTTGCAATAAATATTTGAGTGCAGGTATCTTTTTTATATAATAATTTATCTTCCTTTGGGTAGATACCCAAAAGTGGGATTGCTGGATCATATGGTAGTTCTATTTTCAGTTCTTTGAGAAATCTCCTAGGGAGCTTTTTTTTAAAAAAGAACAAAAAACCCACTCATGTCTGGGCCTCATCCCCATGGGTTCTGATTTAATTAGTCTGAGATGGATCCAACACTAGCAGTTTTTTAAAGCTCCCAAGGTTGAGAACCACTGGTTTAAGGAAAGGACAGTGGATCACAGAAGTCCTGGCTTTACTGAATAGCTGTATGATCATGAACAAATCACTTTGCTTCTCTGGGTCTCCATTTCACCTTTTAGAAAATAAAGCAGTTCTGCTGCATCATTTCTAAGGTGCATCAGATTCTGACAATATTCTTTTGTTTTTCCTAAAGAGTTTTCACCAGCAGAGTCCAGCTCTTACCTTGGGGGATCCAAAGCTTCATCAGATGCCCCAGAATTAGAAGAAATGGAAAGCCTAATGTATTTTCTTTCATTTTGTTCTTTTGCTCCAGTCTGCTGTAGCCATTGGAAACATTACTTCTTCAATCAATCAAAACATTGCTTCTTCAATCAATCAATCAATCAATCAATAATAGTAAAGAGTAACTTAGGGGGGCATCATTGAGCCCCACCCATTCTTAGATATACACAGTCAACATTTTCTCTTACTTGTGAAATGTGCTTGAAGAAAAGTCCCTCAACTTATCTTGCCACCCTAAGATTCCTCCTACATAGAGAACTGGGAGGCTTCTGAAATCAAGGACCTAATGAATTCCTTTATTTGCTTAGAACTACATGAGGAGCTGCAGGGAGAATACAAAGAAACCCAAAATTTTGTCCTGAGGAACTTAGAATATAAAGGAAGAAAGAAAATTCTCTCTCTCTCTCTCTCTCTCTCACACACACACACACACACACACACACACACACACTTAGAACAAATTTGGGGCCCTAATAGTAAGACTGTTCAAGGGGTGCCCAGAGAATGAAAATTCCATGTTCCTCCCACCCTTCCCAGCTAGGTCTCTTTGACCTTAGCATGCTGATATCATCCCAAACCTACCACTGGTTGAGTATCCCTAATCCCAAAACCCAAAATTGAAAATGCTCCAAAATTGGAACCTTTTTGAGTGCCAATATGACACTCAAAGGAAATGTTCATTGGAGCAGTTTAGATTTCAGTTTTGGATTAGGGATGCTGAACTGGTAAGTATATAATGCAAATATTCAAAAAAAAAATCCAAAATCCAAAAACACTTCTGGTATCAAGCATTTTGGGTAAGGAATACTCAACCTATATTGAGTTTATTCATGCTATGACCAATTCCTGGCCACTGGGAGGGGCTTCTAGAATTCCTCCTAATTGTTGAGCACAATGTGAAGTAATAAAAAACACCCTGCATTCTGTTCATCATGTCTGCCTTCTATTTCCCTATAATGGCTCCCAAATGTATTCCCAAGTAATTTACAAGCAAATTAAACTATAAGGGGGCAGAAAGGATTGGGGGTAGGGGTGGGAGAAAGTAAGCTGTATTCCAGTCACCTACCATTGAGAACCAAATATTCTGTTACTTGAAAACAGCGACTAGGTGATACCAAGACTGGATCCATAGATGAAGTGGTTATTGTGGAGTTGGTAAAGGTCAGATGTCTGGGCCCCATATGCTGAGCAGGTAGACTTTTTGACCCCGCCCAGGTAGACTTTTTGACCCCGCCCAGGCATCTTAGCGCTTTATTGACGGTTTTGTAGACCCGTGTTCTTTGACCATTTCCAAAGAGTTAGCTCTCCATTCTAATTGTTTTTCTTCCTATAAGTGTGGTCAGTAGCAGCTGAAAGCTACTGATGGTGATGGTGATGGGTTAAACTGAACGCTGCCTAACTGGGACCAGCACCAGAAAGTGTTTTCCCTGTGCTGGATTTCCTTTGCTTAGTCCTGCCTCGGGATGTCCCCTTTGGATAGTAGCTGGTTTGTTGTGTGCTCTCCAAACACAATTAACAGGATATGGACCACCCTGTTCAACCCTCTATTTTATAGAGGAGGAAATCAGGCCCTTATAGAGGGGGGATTTGCCCACAGTAGTGTTATCATGACACTCACTGATGGTTTGTGCCCAGGTCTGAAGCGTATTGTGAGGAGAAAGAATAGCACAGGCTTAGCCTTTGGTCTTTTCTTTTCATTCTAAACTCTCCCCTTTGGTAAGCTCATCTATGCCCTTATCTTCTATATCACCTCCATTCTGTTTACCTTATAAACTGTGTCCCTCATTCTGATCCTATCCTGAATTCCAGGATAGGATTGCCGAGATCATTTTCACATGAATGTCCCATTGGTATATCCAAAGCAACATGTCCCAAATGGAATTCATCATTGGCCCCCAAAACCTTACAAACTTGTTCCTCGTTTTTGGATTCCCCATCTTACTTAAGGGCAATCCTATACATCCTGTTATGATGGATTGAAATTGGGCAGTCATTCATCTTTGACCCTGTTCTCTCATTCCTTTCCACCATACCACTTGGTATCCAAATCTAGTTATCATCATAGCATGTCTTCTTATCTATCTCCCTTATCCTGTCCCTTTCAATGGACACAACTGCTGCAAAACTAACTTTTCTAGAATACAGATCTATCATGTCACCCTATGGCTTAGAAACCTCTGTGGTTGCTTTATTGCCTATAATGTCTACACCTTTCAGCCTGTTTATTTGGTCATTCTCTGAAGTTCTTCCCCTCTGCACCCTGTTCTAGCCATATTTTACTACTCATTCCTTCCTCAACAGGCCCTGCACTTTCTTCTCTTGACCAAAAATGTCCTTCCTTCCATACTACCATGACAAAGCCCTACTTTTGCTTTAAGACCGACTTCTTTAACAAAGCCATCTCCCATCTAACCCATTCTCTTAGAGTGGTTGCATTTTTAGCATTTTTCAGTTAATTTGATGGCATTTAAGACTATGATGAGAAGATATCCGAAGAAGCAAAATTATAAAAAACTTGGAGAAGGTGGTTATAGAGTGGTTTTTGAACATGTTTCCTCTTCACTAATCAATGGATCAGGCCTCAAGTTGTTAAAACCCTTCTTTCCTGCCTTTGTTCTTGGCATACCTTTATTTTAGCTCTTACCTTCTGCCTTCCATGATAGGTGTAGGTATAAAAGTTTTCCTTCCCTACCAATTTAAAAGCTCACGCAAAACGCACAGTGTGCCTCAATGTAGGATGTCTTGACATTTGTCAATTATCACCACGTTAATTGGCCTCTGTTGTAGTTATGGGTATGATAGCTGTTGTGGTGATAGCAGCAGGTAGCCACGTGTGAGAAGGGGGTCCCATTATTGGCTTGGGCTCTGGGTCTAAATCCCAACACATATCTCTTATACTTTAGGCCAGGGAGACTTTGGGAAGGCACTTTTTCCTATACAGGGTAGACCTAAATATAATTCCCCTCTATACCCAAGCCCATCTCAGATCACACCCTTCTCAAGCTTGGAAAAGCCACACCCAATGCCTGAGTGGAGGAAGAGAGTGTAACAGCATGAGCTGAACCTGATTTAAATTCCTTAGTTATATTCCTAGGGAAGCTCCCACAGAAAACTTGGTGTCCTGGAATCTGACCATTCTGATCTGCACTCCTGGACACAGGGTGAAGGAGGGCTAAATAACTCTGAGAAAACTTGCCCTCGAAGTTACCATTATGGTAGTAGCTACTATTCCTGTGAGCCAGGTGTTTGTGCTAAGAGTTTTATATATATTATCACACTTAATCCTTGCAGCAATCCTATAGGGGTGTCATTATTATTATCCTTATTTTACATAAGAGAAAAACAAAGTTTAAGGCACTTTATATTTCATGGCTCATAAGGCAGAGCATTTAGTAAGCTTCATGAATATTTCAATGCATTTATTGGGCATTTTACACCAGGTACTGTGGAAGAGATAAGGATAAATCAGATATGTTCCCTAACACAAGAAATTCACAGGCCAAGAGGGAGATAGTTGTATATTCAAGTAAATCAGACTTTGTTAGGGAGAAGGAGAGGTCACCACTGACTCAGTGGTCTTACTTAGAAAACAGAATTGGGCCAGTGGCCTTGAAAGATAGGTCAGTCTTCAAGAGGCAGAGAAAGGAGGGCATGTGCTTTCTGTGAAACTAAACAGTAAACTCTTGGAGGGCAGAATCCAGTATTTTTTGCATAGCTCAATTCAAAAGATATTTTCACGCATCTTCTACGTACCTGCCAGGGCAGTATGTGTTGGAGGAGAGGGTGGGACACCAGGATAAATAAGACCAAGCTATTGCCTGCAGGCCTTAGGGCAAATTTCTTCCATAGTCACCAGCAGTATTTCCTCCTCTAGCTGTCCAGTGAATCTTCTCACTCTCTTTCCCTCAATGAATTGTTTACTGAGCTGTTTATTCTACTGTTCTCTGCTTCGTCTGTGTCAGACAACCCAGAACAGCACAAGGGGCTGGAATTCTGAGATCTGAAAGATTATCGGTAGGAGCTTCAGACCCTAAACATTTGCATGTTAGTTACTGAGCCCGCCTATGCATGCATTTTAGAAGAGATTTAATAACTTTCCTTAAGGATTTAAGATTTAATAACTTTTCTCAACTCACCTGACGTTCACCTGCTGACCAACCTGTTCCCGCCCCCTATAAAGGTGTAACAATGCTGATGGCTGGGGGGCAGATGCTGGGTTGCCCTGTGTTTGTTTTTGTCCTGTGCATGCACGTGTGTGTGCACATGTGAGCTAGTGTGTGTGAGACAGCACATGCAGATACAAATGATATTTCTCAGGATCACCACCCACATTGGGGGAACACTGTTCAGCTTTCCTGCAGTCCTCTGCAAGGGGGATACCAATATCCAGGAAACTACCCTTGAGCCTGGCTAATTGACCTGCATGTTAAGGCAACTCCACTGGGAATCCCCAGGAGCTTGTCTGAGGAGAGCCATGAACACTCATAATACAAAGGCAGAAAAAATAACAACAGTCCATCTTGGCGCCCTGGCTGTAAATGGCTCATTTACTCTGGCAAGAGGAATGGAGTTTTAATGACAAATTGTAATGCTGCACAGCAGGCCTGGTTGTATGCTGTAAATTATTCTGAAAGAGGCACTATGCCTTAATAAAAAGAGCATTGCTTTCTGCTGTAGTCTAGACTTAGAGTAAGAGCCATAGAGTAAGAGCCACTGGCATGCCTATAAAATATTCAGGTAGAAATGCCTAGCAGGCAAATGGATATATGGCTAGAGATGCAGATTTGAATCTTCACAATATAGAAATTGTGGACCAAACTTGAGTAGATGAAGTAGATCAAGGAGGTTGTACAACAAGAAAGCAGGGGACAAGGACAGGACCCTCAGGAGCACCCAAATTTATGGGGCATGGTAGAGAAAAAGATACTGATGAAAGAGTGAGATGCAGAATGAAAACAGTCAGGAGAATGCTCTGTTGTGGAGAACATGGGAGAAAGAGACTCCAAGAAGGCCAAGGATCAACACAGAAGAGAAGCCTTGGATGATCTCAGAATGGAGCTTGGACTGCAGAAGGCCAAGGGATGGAGCAAAGTGGGGGCACAGAGACTGTGAGACATTCAGTTTGGGTGAGAATTGGAGGTGGGAAAGTGAAGAAACTGAAATGATGTAGAAGAGGGAGGCAGAGTATGGAGCCTCTGCTATGCTTTAGAATCAGACAAGGTTTGGTTGGAATCCTAGGTTCCAGGCTGTGGGCCTGGGGTAGATAATTTAACTTCCAAGCCTGTTTCTTCATCATTGAGGCGAACATAATAAAAGCTAGCCCACAGGGTATACAGCAGGTGTTCTCAAATGGAGCTGGAGGAGGACACAGGTCATAGGAGAGGTTTTGTAAAAGGTAGTACAGAAATGACAGGGGCAGACAGGACAAAATCAGACATCAGCCCTAATAATGTCAAGTTGTATAATTCAAGTGCTCCTGATTTCTCTTGTTGAAACTGAGAGAAACTGTGAGCTTCTTAGATTGCATTTGATAAAGGGAAATGTGTCAGTTACAGAATGTGTCAGAGTCTATAAGTGTTTAGGAAGACATTGTATATGCGTGAAAATCAGGTTGAAGTTCAGGGACATTAGAAAAACAATCAGGGGGATCACAGTGATAGCTCAGAAGTGACAAACACGGTGAGAGAACAATTGAAGAGGCAAGAACAAGAGGACAGATAAGACAGGGCCACAGAGAAGGAAGTGGAGGTGGGTCAAGGTCTGTCTTTAACTGGGAGGAGGACAGACATCTCCAGGAAATAAGTGAATACATTTCCATCTGGGGGAATAGAGTGATTGGAGACCTTCCAAGTTGTCCCTTGATCATGCAAAGCAAGAACCTGCAGACCAGCATGGCTGACTTACATATGTAGTTAATGGCAAGGCTGGAGCTAAAGCCTGGAGCCCTTGGCTCTTTCTGTGGCATCTGTTTGGTTGCAATGAATTAAAGATGAAAGAACTAGCTTGTTCTGGTTTGGTGAGTGCCCCTTTTGGTGGTCACTTCTTGCTTGATTAGAATGGGAGAGAAGAAACCAAACTAAGAAATAAAAGCCACTCACCAGAAAAAGCAGCAAGGTCAGAAAATGCTGCAGCCTTCACTGTAATATTTGGGAGCCCATCCCTTTGCACTCTTTTAGTATTTGAGTTTAGCATTTGAGTATTTAGTGAGAGTCCTAATATGTTAGTGCTTTTAAAAAAGTTGTGGAAGAGCCAATTCATTTTACAGATGAGGAAACCTGTTTACCAAGCACACAGAGGATCTGCAGCCAAACTGAGATAGTGCTGAGGTGTTCCGACCTCCAGCCACAGAAGCAGCATTGTCTGTGTGCGGGCATGGTGGGCAAGCAGGTGGGCTCTGGCTGCGGTGACCTGCTGCTGTAAGTAGCTCAGGAGGCAAATGTGGATGAAACGGGAAATCTTTCATCCCATTTGTCAATTGCATTTCAGGGTAGCCTTTTGAGGTCATGATCCTGGCAATCTGGTGTTAAAAGAGGGGGTAGGGGTATCTAAATTAACCAGATAAATTCAGCTCTTTGCTCCTGAATACCTGATGCTATGAGCAAATGTGTGTTGTGTGTCCACCCCAAGGCAAGTGAGCTGAGACAGTGGAGACAGGAGCTCAAGTAATCACAGCCCACCCTAGGCACTTGGGGATTCACTACATGACAGAAGGAGATCTTCAAATCTGTTTTTGGGGGGCCAGCCACCAATTCCCCTCTCTCTGCTGCCTGCCTATGGTAACATCCTTGGCTTCTCTGCTTATCACTAACTGTTGTCTTCTGATTCTAATTTACTGCCAGGTTTGACACTCAATAAACCCCCCCAAAAACACCCCCATAAAACAAGTATTAGTTAGAAAATCTTTCCAGCTGCAGCCCCTGAGACCAAACAGATGTTTTTAAAGTTATTTAAAGTAAAGGAGTACTTCCTTCCCCAGCAGGATGGCCACAAAACCAAGGAAAGTTTGGCTTGGTACCTGTAATAAAATGGCCTTTACCATTTGTTCAAGCCAAAAAAAATGAGGCCTTGAAAGAAAAGAGAAGAAAGACAATAAAATAGGATGCAAATGATGCTGAACTCTCTCTTGTGCTTACAGTTTAGGCAGAATGACCTTCACTCAACAGGCTGGACAAATGGTCCTGACACCAGGCCCTGGGGTGGTCAGTCCACAGGCAGTAAGCTCTGCAGCCACCTCCTCCTTCACTGTCACCCAGAAAAAACTGCAAGAGGCCTAAGGACCCCTTCTGGCATAGGAAAATGCCCTAATATACTCTTGGGGGGTAATATCCTATTCAGAACAAGGTGCATTGAGGCTGCAGGAAAGCTGATACTGAGGAGGTCTTTTGACAAATTCCGTGCACGGACCACAGCAAATGTGAGGGAGAGACCAGTGGGGTCACACTGTGCCAGGTGCCAAAGCCAGGATGCCACCCTTGATGGTTTTTCACCCCAAATGCCCAAATTCAGCTGACCTGGCAGGAATTCAAACAAAATAGGGCAACAGAGATACAGGATAAAGGGGAGACTCTGATGAAAACCCAGCTCTGATAGAAGCACAATTCTGGGGCTTGGGAGAGCTAGTTCCAGGAATACAGAAGAAGATGGGGTATCAAAAATAATCAAGTCAAGAGAAAGCCCTGGTCATGTTGGGTCAATGGTGGGTTTCTAAAGAAACCTTAGCTTTTAGCCTAGATTTCACTCAAAGCCCTTTTCTCAGTTTCATGTTCTCCTCTCACCCTATTCCCCATCCCCAGGGGTCAACTTCCCCTCTATCTTCCTTTCCAGCTGGGCTCTGTGGAGGGAACTTGCTACCTTCTAACTCCATCATGCTGGTACTTTTGTCAATTTGCTTTTGGGCACTTGTCCTGACCCAGCACTGAGATGGAATTAAATTGAGCACTTGCTCACAGCCAGTCGGAGGAAAGACTGTGATGCCAAGACACTGCCTTTTCCTACATTGCTCTTTCTGTCCTGAGCATGTTCTCTCTGATGTCCTGTATGCTACTCTGTCTCATCTCCAAATCAGTGGCTGCTTTTGGGAAAGGTGCTCACTATGTTTCCTCTCCCAGAGATGTCTTCATTTTAACAAGGATTGAGCTTTCCAACAAAAGGATGCTTTTTTACTTAGTATTTTTCAGATAAAAGTAAGATATTGTTGACTGGGGAGGGGGATTTCCAATTTTTAATCCCTGCATTCTTCCCATTCCTTTGCCGTCCATACCACTCGCAGTCCCTAACCTGATCCTCTCCAGGTTTGTCCGAACAAGGTAAATGGCACCAGCTTCCCTTCACGATTAAAGTAAAAAGCCTAGACACCACCCTCAAGTCCTTCCTTTTCCTCATCCCATGTCCAATCCATAGGGGTATTTTGTCATTCGTTCTGCAAAAGATGTCTAATCTCCATCCACTTCTCTTCTCTCTACTGCTATCACCTTAGTTCTGCCATCATCACCTCTCACCTGGATTTTCTTAGCATTTTCTTAGTCCTTTATTAGTCTCCAACTTCCATCCTCATCACCCTAAGGCCATCTTCACACAGCGGTCTTTAAAGCATACATCACACCAGTCCATCTACCTGCGTAAGACACTCAGAACTTGCAAGTAGAATAAAGTTCCCTACCATGGTGTCATGTGTTGAGCTGTGTCCCACTGGAATTCATATGTTGAAGTCCTAAACCCTTGTACCTCAGAATGTGACCTTACTTGGAAATAGAGTTACTACAGATGTAATTAGTTAAGCTATAATTTCATTCTGAAAAAGGGTGGACCTCTCTAATCGTATATAACTGGAGTCCTCATAAGAAGATGGCTGTGTATCAGAATATATAAGAAACTCGAAGAACTCAGTAGCAAAAAAACAAATAATCCACTTAAAAATGGGCAGAAGACCTGAATAGACATTTCTCAAAAGAAGACATATAAATGGCCAACAGGTATATAAAAAAATGCTCAACATCACTAATTATAAGGGAAATGCAAATCAAAACTACAGTGATATATCATCTTACCCCAGTCAGAATGGCTATTATCAAAAAGACAAAATATAACAAATTCTGGCAAGGATGTGGAGAAAGGAGATGACCATATGCTGTTGGTGGGAATGTAAGTAATACAGCCACCATGGAAAAAAAGTATGGAGGTTCCTTTAAAATCTAAAGTTAGAACTGCCATATGATCTAGCAATCCTACCACTGGGTATATATCCAAAAGAAAGGAAATCAGTATGTTGAAGAGATATTTTCACTTCCATGGTTATTGGAGCACTATTCACAATAGCCAAGATATGGAATCAACCTAAATATGCATCAGTGGATGAATGGATAAAGAAGATATGATATACATACAAAATGGAATACCATTTAGCCATAAAAAAATAAATAAGATCCTGTCATTTGCAGCAGCATGGACAGAACTGGAGGTCATTATGTTGAGTGAAATAAGCCAGGCACAGAAGACAAACACTGCATAGTCTCACTCATATATGAGAGCTATAAAAAAAAAAAGTTGATTTCATGGTGGTAGAGAGTAGATTGGTGGTTACCAGAGGCTGGTAAGGGAAGTGGGAAGGAGGACATAAAGAAAAGTTGGTTAATGGGTGCAAAAGTACACCCTCAACAGAAGGAATAAGTTCTAGTATTCGATAGTACAGCAGGGAAATTATAGTAAACAATAATCTATTGTATATTTCAAAATAGCTAGAAGAATTATAATGTCCCCAATCAAAGAAATGAGAAATGTTTGAGGTGATGGATATTCCAATCACCCTGATTTGATTATCACACACTGTACACATGTATCCAATATCTCATGTACCCCAAAACTATGCATAACTATTATGTTTATCAATGAAATAAATAAATGAATAAATAAATAAATAAAAACTTCTGTGCCTCAGAGTGGACACACACAGACACACACAAAAAGAAGAAGAAGAGGGCTATGTGAAGTCAGAGACACACAAAGACAACGCCCTGTGACAACCAAGGCAGAGCTGGAGTCACCCAGCCCAGGATTGCTAGCAACCCACTGGAAGCTAGGGACAGGCAAGGAAGGATTCTCCTCTACAGGTTTTGGAGGGAGCGCAGCCCTGCCAGCACCCGATTTTGGAATTCTGGCCTCCAGAACTGTGAGGCAATACATTTTTGTTGTTTTACGCCACCCAGTATGTGGAGCTTTGTTACGGTAGTCCCAAGAAACCAACACGCAGGGCTTCTGAGAGCCTGTGTAAGCCTGCGTGATAAGGCTCCTGTCCACCTCACTCACCTTTTGTGCCATCTTACTCCCTCTCCAGCTGCACCCGCTTTTTGGCATGTTCTAGAACATAATGAGCCCACTCGCCTTTGCAGCCTTTGTGTGTACTAGTCCTTCCCCATAAAACACTGTTCTTCCAGCCCTTCATGTGTTCCATGTGTTCTTGGTCTTTTTGGTTTTGCTTTAACCATCACCATATCAGAGAGGCCTTTCCAGACCTTCCTACCTGCATAGGTTCAAAGCATCCTGCTTATTTTTCTCACAACACCCATCTCAACCTAAAACTGTTTAACTTTTTAAGCTGTTTTCTTACCTTGCTCTTCTACTAGAATACAAGTGCCTGAGGGCATGGACCATTAAAATGGAATTGTTCTAAGCCAGGCTCACAGCCAGGGTCTGGGAAGAGTTGGTTGACCAAACATCCTTGGCATTTTCACGCATGAAAATATTTTGAATGAGTGAATGAAAGAAGAAATGCATGCTACTTTTAAGGCCCATCCTGTTATATCTCTCTTTATTGAATGAAGAAAGCTAGCAGTCTTGGAGCATCTCCTATGAAGTATAGAAGGGCTAATCAATGTAGGTAATACTATACCTCATTAGAGTCAGAGATAAAACTGGGAACCAGGCCTCTAAGACCTAAAAACACATGCTTTTTTTCTACTAGTTCATATTGAGAATATTATAAAAACTTGTTTATATATCTTTTTTTTTTTTTTGAGATGAAGTCTTGCTCTGTCACCCAGGATGGAGTGCAGTGGCATGATCTTGGCTCACTGCAACCTCCATCTCCTGGGTTCAAGTGATTCTCCTGCCTAGCTGCCTGGCCTCCCGAGCAGCTGGAATTACAGGCATGTGCCACCATGCCTGGCTAGTTTTTGTATTTTTAGTAGGGACAGGGTTTCACCATGTTGGTCTTGAACTCCTGACCTCGTGATCCACCCCACATCGGCCTCCCAAAGTGCTGGGATTACAGGTGTGAGCCACCGTGCCAAGCCTATCAAATTTTTATAAGCAAGTCATATTTCAAAAGTACTGGGGTAGCTGGCTACTTAAAAGGAATCCTGAGGGAAACCAAATTGTAAAATGAGCAACAATTTCCTAATTCGCAATTTGTGAAAATTCAGCACTGTGGTTATTGAGGTAGTTGGTATCAAGGTGCAAATGTGGTTCCTGCCTCTGAGAACACAACGATGCTTATTTGTACCACCTGCTCAGAGGAGGATGAGTTTTCAGCAGAAATTCCATGCTTTCTCCTCTATTTCAAGGTTAGATGCCAAATACAATGATCTGCTCCAAAAAACAACTCAACAGCCTCTCTGATTTGAGAGCTGGTGGTGCCTTTTTTTTTTTTTTTTTCTAATTTGGAAATCTCCCAGCACCTTGTTAATTTGGCTCCCTGGGAAAAATGGGAACTTCAATTCACCTCCTTAGGGGAGAACGATGGATGACTTAGCATGGCTTGTCCTTTAAGCAAGTCTCCTCATTCCCATGTCAGGCAATGATTCACTTTCACAGTGCCTCAATCCATCACTCCGCTCAATCTCCTCCATACACCTTTCCTGTCACTCCCCAGGGAGGGAAAATGGATGGCAGATGTTCCCTGAGATCTTGTTTTCAGGAGAAAGGAGGTAGCAGAGACGGGAGTGTCCCTGCTCACACTGACAGTGTAACCCTTGGTCTTGAGTGGGTGGGTGGCTGGCAGAGCATCCTGATGGACTGTGTGCCTCTGTGGAGCCAGCAGCCCTAGGATGGGAGGAGAACAGCCCATGGTTTCTCAAATAAAGAGAGCAGCCACTGAGAAAGGGACTTTCGATAACTAGAATGTAAGCTCCGCTGGGCAGGGATTGTATCTTCTTTGTTCACTGCTGCATCTTCAGTACCTAGAAGAGTACCTGGCACATAGTAGGGACTCAAGAAATCTTTGTTGACCAAAGGAAAGAAAGAAAGAATAAATTATTATGCATGCTTCCCAACAGACTATAAAGCAGCTTCGATGTGACAGATGCTTCTTTGAACCAGTGGTTTCTTCCTGCTCTGAACTCATGGCTCTGCCTACTGCACCATTCATCGGAATCAAGCAGATTGAATCCAGGTTCAGACTTCTCCCACCATTGCATCAACTATAAGTTCCTGGAAGGTGTGGACTCAGAGCTTTGCTGACAACAACCACCTTTTCTCTTGGTCTCCATACTTGAAGTTATTCCAACCATGTGGCCTGGTTTGGAGTTCAGAAAAGATGGTCTTTGTAGCTGTACAGTGCTTTGAATAGAACAAGCTTCAGTAAACATTTGTGGAACGAGTGTGTCTAGGCTTGGCTTTCCAGATTCCCAGGTGGGATAAGGACACAGGGCAGAAAGGACCACAGTCTCAGTGCTGTTTATCTTACTATGTGTGGACAAACAAATGGTCTTAGACACCTTGTAGGTTAAGCAAAGAGGAAAATAATAAAGTAGGCTTCGCATTGGCTATCACTTAGAAAATACCTGCCCAGTGCCAGGCGCTGTGCTAATACACATTACATATTTAATGGGATGTTGGATGGAACTTTTCCTGCTGTCCCAATGTTGGCAATTGGAGTGCCAAACTGAGGCAAAGAGGACTTAATTCTCCCCAGGCTTAAGGACAGAAGCCAGCAGTTGAGGATAGACACCTCCTTCAGGACTTCACAAAAGGCAGCTGAACTGGCTCTGCCACCTCCAACAACCATCACTCCCTTCCCAGTCTATAAAATAGAGGAGAGAAGGAGGGGTGCCTGAGTTGTTGACTAGTAGGGAGATTTTTGGCTTCTCTCCCTCCTTTCATGAGGGAAAGGAGAGAAGTGCCCCCTCTTACCCCGGCAAAGCCAAGTGAAGGGGTGCCAGCAAAATTGTTCAGAAAGATTAGGGGTACCTCTAAAAAGAGGACACTGGTGTTCACTCCCAGCTGGTAACTTGCAAGCCCTCTTTGATGGCATCAAAATGAGCAGAGCAGAGCATTGAGTTCTTACAAGAGCTAGTGTAATCCCAAGAGTTGGGGCCATATGAGAACACAGAGATTCAGGCCTGCAGCTTCTCGCCCAGCAGAAGGTCTGCTGGAGTGTGGAGCCAGCCAGGCGAGGAGGAACAGTAGCGTAAGGTATCTGCAGAAAGGCAATGAAGCCCCGCCTTGACCTTAGTTACTTGTGAATCTCAGTGGGTATGAAAGAGGAAACTAGGGGTTCCCATGGCTCCCCAAAGCAGATCATAAGGGCTAGAGGGTGAGGAGGAGGTGTGAGTTTGGCCAGACAGCTGCTGGAACAAACAAGGTGATGCCCCCGGGAGAGGGGTTAGATGAATGGACCTGACCTAAGGGAAACATGATTGCCCCTTTGAGAGGGTCTACAGTGACTGAGGGGCTATAGTGGAACTGAATACCATCTCCAAATAACCAACATGTCAATAGAGGATGAAAGACAGAGTGTGTGACAACCCCAGGCATCTCCCCCTTTCCCTTGAAATTCCCCTACCCCTCTGCAAGTTCGTTGAATCATGAACTTGGTTAACATCAGAGTAGGGAGTTTCAAAATATTCAGCTGGTGCCAAAGTAATTGTGGTTTTGCCATGACTTTTAATGGTAAAAATTGCAATTATTTTTATCATCATTTTGCACCTAATACCTTTGATATTAGTGCTTTAAAATGGAAGGGCAGAATAATTTTAACCACAAAAGTTGCCAGGAAATTGCAGATTCTGATGTCATTAAGGTATGAGCTGAAAGCATATGCCCCAAAGAGGGAGGGCAACAAAACAAAAGACTTTCGGAGAAAATGAGTGGAGAAAAAAACACCTGTCCCATTGTGATACCTTCAGAATTCACACTGCCTCATGAACTGAGTCCCCATGCATCATATCACTGCACACTTACAGCGGCCATATAATGTGTGTATATACAACCTTCATTGAACAGATGGGGAAACAGAGGGTAAGAGGTAAAATAACTTACCAAAAGCCACACAAGAAGGGTTATCATGGCTCTGAACTCCTGCAGAACACTGCCTCTCCCCTTCCTCTCTGCATTAATTCCAGATGTGTTTGCAGGATATACTAGGAGGGACTTAGAGCCATGGATTTGTGTCCTTGCTCCACCTCACACCTTGGGATTCTGGGAAAATTATTTAATGTGTCTTTGCCTCACTTTCCTCCTCTGTAAAATAGTAATAGTACCTACCAACAAGGTATTGTGATGATTTGGTAAGAATATTTTTGAATGGAGTCTGGCAGGTAATGTAGGTGTACATTAATGACTAATTCTTTCACCCTTTTCCCTGAAAACTTAGCTCAAGCTGCACGCTTCTCCTTTGACCTCCTATAGCATCTATGAGATCTCTCTGAAGCCACTATCAGCAGCACCTGGCATTTACCACAAACTATGAGTTTCCTTTTGCATATTGTTAGTTTCCTTTCTATCTGATTACTTCCCCCTAATTAGACTATAAGCTACTTAAAAGCAGGACCAAATTCTCACTTCTCTGGATGCTTTATAGCATCTAGCCACACACACAGTAGAGACTTAGTTAAATCAAAGGCTTCTGCTGGAATACTGCTGTGATAAAAAGACAGGAAAACCTGAAGCCTATAGAGAAGAGGATAATGGTCATAATACCGATGCGATAATAACAATAACTGATTTATCGAGTACTTACTCTTGTCAGGCATGGTGCCAAGTGTTTTAAATGCATTCTCTCACAGACTCCTTCCATCAGTCCTGGCTAAGAGGTTGGTTTGTTGGTGGGTTAGTTGGTTAGCTTTAACTAACATTTGGAAAGAGCTTATCATTGCACAGACTCTGTTGGAAATGTATTCAGCATGTATCACCCCATTTAGACCTTGCTGCAAAGATATATGGTAGACATTATTATACCCATTGTGTGGGTAGAAAAGGAAGCAAAGAGACATTAAATACATTTCTCAAAGTCTCACAGCTAGCACATGAAAGATCCAAGATTCACATGCTTGAAATTTGCAGGTTAGGTGACTTGCTGAAGTGTATGTAGCTAATAAATGACTTACATTTATTACAGGGAGATTTACATCCTCTGGCTTTGGAGCTTAGTCAGTTCCTGTGCATGATAGCAGAAGCGGGACTGCAAAGCAGCAGTTCATAAATGTGGTAGGAGCATTTGTTTCCATCTGTGGATCTCTTCAGTAGGACAAAAGAGTTCATGGGTCCCTCTTCAACCTCTTACACTTGTCAACAAAACAAGCTCCCCTCAGACTTAGTGGGAAGAGTGGTGCGGCTTTGGATGAGACATCAAGGAAATAGCGTTTAGTTTTAATGAATATCAGGAATCAATTAATGTATACTGGAAGCTAAATGCTATCATTTTAGGAATATTACCCTCCTTTCACATCCCCAGGGAATCAGTACCTATCTTATATCAGCTCTCTGTCTTCCTCCCTGGCTGACCTCACAGTGTAACTTTCTTTCACTTTGTAACCCGTTTCTCTGAAGAGGACACCCACCTAGCTGTTAACCCTAGGGTCTGTAGGTCCACCCCAGTGACTCCAATGGCCTCCCTCTCACCAGTGACCAGAGCCCTGCCTTAGGGCTCCACAGAGCCCAGCTGGCCAATGGGTTCCACGGAGCCAAGCCTGGCACCTAATGGCCAGTGCAGCCCCATGTGAGCCAGGAGAGAGAAATCAGAAGGGTGAGACCCAAGTTGGGCTGATCAGAAACCCAATGGGAGAAGCAGGCCTGATATGGAGGGTGACCATTCAACCAATTCATGTTACTGCAAAAGACAGGTTTCCAATCTCTCCCAGACAGTCTGCCCTGAGCTCTCTTGGGAGATGCTGTTCTTGCAGAGCTCAGAAAAGGAATTTCAAACCTTCAGAATCTCAGACTGACTATGATCGTTCAGATTCAGGTGAAAGCAGGATGTGGGGTGAGGGTGGTGGTGTAAATGAACCACTATTGAAATAGTCATCATTTGATCACCAGTTCTCCTTAAAATAAGATACAACGTCCATACAACTTTGCAAATTTGTGTGAAATAAGGCATCAGGTAATTCTTTGCTAGAAGGAGTGTAAGACTGCATTCTTGGTCCCACTAATCTTGACCAAGGAGAAAAAATATGTCTAATTTAACCATAGACTGGCTGATTTTCTCAAAGGCAAACACAGAAAGGTCATTGATTTTCTCTTGGGGATCACACTTAAGTCCATGCATTACCTTTTGATGATTGCACTAGAAGAGAAATCTATTCATTTCTGAGGGAACCTCCTCTCCAGGAGACCTAACTAAAAAGTCATTATCTGAATGTTAGTATTTTGGTGGAAGGGTTTTTTATTCTTTCTCTTATTTTACTTCTTTCTTATCAAGTCTAGAGGGCAAGGTTCTGTCGTATGTATTGACTTAGACTAAATATAATCTAGATTCTTCTGGTCCCTTAAAAAAGAAGTCACCGTTTTAGAGTTTTTCCTCAGTGGATGCAAAATTAACGCATTGCCTTTGCCTCACCCACAATGTTTAGGTCTAGGGCTGTACTCATTTCGTTATTTTATTATTGAGCACAAATATAATCAATATTCAAGTGATTTCCTGAGTCTCATTCTGTCCCCAGCTACCCCCAGCTTACCCTGTGGGGGCTCATTCTTCTCTCTGTAGCTCGCCCACCCCTTAAATGAGCGCTGTTGGAGACAGGCTTTTGCTTCTGAGCAGTGCTCACAGATTTTTTGACTTGGTGGTATAAAATTCCTTTCATATGGCTGTTGCCTGTAGATGCGTTAAGTTTTGAGGGCCTAGCCCATGAGGCCTGTGCAAGTGCTTATTATGAGCTGAGAGTATTCCGTGTAAACCTCGTAATAATCCTGTGAGGAGGTACTATCATTGCCCACATTTTACAAATTAAGGATTTGTAAAGTTTAAGCCATTTAGTAACTTGCCTGAGGTCACTAAGTAGGCACTAAGGAGCCAGGCGTGCTTGGCTCCAGAGCCTTGGCACATTTGTTACCTCAAGACACCTGTCCATTTACAAACAGATGGGCCTGGGAGCACCCCTGGAGTGCAGATGGATAGCTTAGGGCAAGGGTTCTCAATCACAGCTACGTATCAGAATCACCTGGAGTGCTTAAACAATATACTGATATCCCAGCCCCACGTCAACACAATGAAATCCAACTCTCTGGAGGTAGGTTCCAGGCATCAGTACTTTTCAAGCTTCCCGGGTAATTCTCGGGAGAAGCCAGGCTGAGAAGCCCTCATCCACAGGAAAGAACTCATCCCTAGGAGAATGGTTTGGTTGTGCACCCATTGCTGATCTGAGCACTAACAGCTCCAATAACCTGCTGGTTTTGGTGCTTCTGTTCCAGAATCCCATACCCCTCTCTTCCCCCCAGAGAACCAGCAGCTCTATTCCCCTCTACCCAGGCTCTGAGCTGTTACACGGCTGTCAGGTGTATACTCATTTCATGGCACCTCACTGCTTACTTATCCTCTGTGAGCACTTCCCCTGCATTTTGGTCCTCTCCCTCTTCTTCCCCACAGTTAGTCATTCCCTCTCGTGGGTTCCCACAAAACCGTGGCCATGGCCTCGGACAGTACTGATCTCATGGCTTCATCTCTATCTGTTTCTGAGTCCGTCTCCTCCACTGGATTGTGAGCTACGTGAGGACTGGGGCTGTGTCTGACTCTTCTCCATACCCCGCTGTGGGGGCAGGGCACTCAATAGGATGGACCCAGACAACGTGGATTGAAAGCATACATTCTGGTCTATGGGACTGGGTTCTGATATCAGAAAAGTCTCCGTCTGTTGCCACAGCCTCTCTTTCCATTCACCTCCATGTGACACAAAGAGTTTTTATGGGAAGTAAAACAAACAAAAAAACTAACGAAAACTTCCTGTTTTTTTTTTTTTTTTTTTTTTTAAAAAAAAAAAAAAAAAGGCCAGGCACAGTGCTCATGCCTGTAATCCCAGCACTTTGGAAGGCCAAGGCGAGTAGATCACTTGAGGTCAGGAGTTTGAGACCAGCTTGGCCAACAGGGCAAAACCCCATCTCTACTAGAAATACAAAAATCAGCTGGGTATGGTGGCACACGCCTGTAATCCCAGCTACTCAGGAGGCCGAGGCAGGAGAATCGCTTGAACCTGGAGGCAGAGGTTGCAATGAGCAGAGATCATGCCACTGCACTTCCAGCCTGGGCAACAGAGCGAGACTCCACCTAAAAAAAAAAAAAGAAAAAAGCAATTAAATCTTCAAGATTTGGCTCCAAACATATCTCCAAAAAGAAGTCTCTTGGAGTGCCTCAGCTCATCATGGTCTCTTTTCATGATATTTAACAGTCATCACAACCTATATCATTCAGTTGCCAGTTGCATTCTTCCGTTACTGTCTTCAACAGTTATTTTTTAATGCTTATAGGTTTATGTTTCACTTTCCTAACAAGACTGTGAACTCCATGAATTTCAGGCTATTTCTAAAATGGCAGTATCATTTTATTGGCTCACTTGTTTGATGTCTCCTGACACACTGTAAGCTCTTGAAGGCCTGACACACTCTTACATTCATCTTCATATGACAGCCCAGGCACAGTTCTGGTACCTGTAAGAGCTCAGCTGGACTTTGTTAAATGAAGACATTTGGTAACCCCTTTCAGCCTAGTGCCCTGAACTTACCAGGTGCTCACAAATCATATTTGTTAACTGAGTATGAAATGAAAAAGCATAATTCTTATTATAAGATGTGGTTCATATGAGGCATGAAAATTTATTGGATTAAACCCTCTTTCAATTTCTTTTTTGGCTATTTGTAAATGCTTGGTTATTTGACTCCAAAATTGAATAAGTATTGGGGAAGAATCCCTCACCTACTTCCAAATCCCTTACATATCAATTTTACACAAAGCCCCTAAACCTTCAGTTCCAATCACTCTGAATTTCATATACCTCCATTATTAAATTCAATACATCATTGCAGAGAAAAGACAACGGTGCCAACTGGGTTTGGTTGGTGCCTGCACACCCACAGTGGCAACTAAGTGTAATCTCTAAATATGGAATCAGGTCTGCTGTTTCATTTTTTAATGAAGGAAATAGAAGCCCTGGCCCCCTCACTAGAGATGCTGCCCTGTTGTATCAGCTACAAAACACAGGGTCCTGCTCCATTTGGCTGACTGATTATACAGGGGGATTCCCCTTAGATGATAGGTTTGATGCCCAATGATAGCAACACTGTCAAACAGATCATTGTTTTCTGTTTTCCTTTGGGGAAATAAAAGTCTATGTGGGAGGAAGGGGACATGAAAGAAACGTATAAACTCATCTGCCCCAGAAAACCATCCCAACACCCTGTCCCCCAGCCCTACCTTTGGCCCTCCAGCTGCTGCACCCCAGCACACAGCTGTTGCTGTTGTGGACTAACAAGCTGTGGTTAGCAGGGTAGGCAGGAGGGATGATTGCAATGGCACTAATGAGGGGCGCCAAGACAAGCACTCAAGGCAGCTGGTTTTAAAGCAGATGGAAGGAAAGAAGGAAGGAAGGAAGGAAGGAAAAGAGGGAGGGAGGGAGGGAAGAAGGAAGGAAGGAAGACAGGCCCAGAAGACAGCATGTCCAAATGATAGGCTCTGTAGAAGATGTCCCCAGGAGCACTCTGGGTGAGCTTCAAAGTGCTGCCAGCCAGGGCTGGTTACAATCCTTCACCACAGGCAGGGGAAATGAAGGAAAAGGCATCTTGTTCAGCCCACCCGTAGCCAGCTCTAACCACTTGAACATTAACTCTCCAGCATTCGGCTGAATAAAATGGTAATTGACATTACAGTGGAAGATGTGTAATGTCGACAATGCCATGGCTGGGAAGTTCCAGCCAAATTAATTTTGGCAGGAATCTAGGTCTGCAATGAGGCTAATGGGGGGCTGAGTCCCTGTCTTCAAAAGGCTCCTCCACTACATTTCACCTGTTAGTATGAAGTGACTGGCAAAGTTGGGTTTCGTATCTGCAGCAAACTCATCCAATGCCTAGAAGAGTTGGGAGACATATTGAGGAGATGATGGCTCTCTAACGAAGCCCAGCAAGGGAAAAGGAAGCAGAGCTCTTGCTCCTGACCCTTACTTCAGCTCTTCTATCTATTCATTTAAAAAAAATTAGAAAAATGACTTGAGGAAAAAAATAACCCTGCCTGGTATTTATATATATATTAGAGTATATTTATAAAATTTGAATGACTGGGTGGCCTGACTGCATATTCATAGCTGAAGTGGAACAAGGTGATTCTCTGCCTTCTCCTTCCAGCTTCCATGCTGTAAGCCAGTGTCCTTTTTGCAGTCTCTTTAGTGCTACGTTTTTCACATGTTTGTGTTTGCGCTGATGAGTTTGCTGTTGAAAATGGCCCTTAAGCATACTGCTGAATCCTAAGTGCAAGAAGGCTGGGATGTGCCTGAGGAGGAAATGTGTGTGTTAGATAAGCTTTGTGAAGGCAGGAGTTATAATGCTGTTGCCTAGAGAGTTCAGAGTTAATGAATCAACGTATATATTAAATAAAGTGTCTTGAAGCAGAAACACACATAAGACAAGGTATATATTGATCAGTTGATAAAAATATTGTGACCAGCAGCCTGTATTTCCTCCAGGAGCAACGCTTTAGGATTCACTCATTCGGAGTTTGTGCTAACTTTATGGAACATAACTGCTATGAATAATGAGGCGTGACTATTTGGGGGCATGATTTGGGCTGCTTGGAAAGGTTTTCTATGGTATTTGAAGTGACAGAGACTGCAGGATAGGTGAAAAACAAAAGGAACAGTAGGAGGGAAATTGTTATATACTTGTGTCTGCTATCTGCAAGACTTTTCCAGCCTATTCTATCTCATTTAGTCTTTGTCATAGCCTTATATGGCTGATCTTATTGTCCTTTTATTCCAGGTAAGGAAATTGAACCTTCAAGAGATTAGTCAATTTGCCTGAGGTCAAATAGCATGGAAGACAGATTCCAATGTGGCTGTAAGATTCCTTCTCTCCGCAAGAACATGCCCTATATAATCCCCTCCCTCAAGTGTGAGTGGGACCTGTGAACATTTGGGACCTGTGATTATTTGCCATGATTATGTTACATGGCAATGGTGAAGGTATTTTGCAGATATAATTAGGGTCCCTAATCAGTTGACTATTAAGCCTTGACTTTAAGGGAAACTGTCCTGAGTGGACCTGACCTAATCAGGTGAACCCTTTAAAAGATGTGAGAGATTCTCTCTCCCCGTGTCCTTGAAGAAGCAAGCCATGAGTTCTATAGCTGCAAGAAAATTAATTTTGCCAACAACCACCTGACCTTGGAATCCACACCCCCACCCCCATGCTTCAGATAAGACAGCAGCCCCAGCTAACACCTTAACTGCAGCTAAATTGTGCCTGGACTCATGATTCATGAAAACTGAGAAATAAATGTGTTGTTTGTAGTAATTAGTTATGCAATAGAAAACGAATATGCATTGTCAAGCTCTAGCAGAATCAGGGTTCAAACACAGGTCCACCTGCCTCCAAAGCTGATGCTTTCCTCCTTTATACCCTGTACAGACAGGATTCCTGACTCAGGATGGTTCGACCGACAATTTTTGAAGTTTATGATGGTGCAAAAGTGATATGCATTCAGTAGAAACTATACTTTGAGTATCCAGAAAACCATTCTATTTTTCACTTTCAGTACAATATTCAATAAATTATATGAGATATTCAACACCTTATTTTAAAATAGGCTTTGTTTTATATGTTTTTGTCCACTTGTAGACGAATATAAGTCTTCTGAACATGATCAAGTAGGCTAAGCTAAGCTATCACGTTCTGTGGGTTATATGAAATAAATACATTTTTGACTTATGGTATTTGTAACTTGCAATGGAATTACATCCCTTGTGATGGGTTTATCAGGATGTAACCCCATCATAGGCTGAGCAGCATCTGTAATATCACCTTTTCTTTGTTGTTTGCTTGCTTGCTTGTTTAGTTGGCATGGGAGAGGGTTGGCAGAAGAGGGTACTTTTTTCTTTTGAGGAAAGGAATACAGAAGACATTTAGATACAATGACTAAGGTTTTAGCCCTAACACAAAGGAAGTCTCTTCAGCCTTGGATGGTGGCAGTAACTGTGACCAGTAAAAACATGGGGGTGTGAGCCAGCCTTTTATCTCCTTCTGCTCAGGAAACAGCTAGTGGAGATTTGAGAGCAGCAGGGTTTACAAAGCGACAAGGTAAGAATGCTGGGTCCCTCATGTTGAATGAAACACATAAAATTGCCGATATTATTATTATATTTTTGATGTACACAAACAGCAATACATACGATTCAACCAGCTATGTGCAAGCACAAAGCTTAGCCAGTGGTTAGGCCAGGGCTGATCAGTGACCAGAACAGGGCAGCAGCAACGTGTTCTATAGGAAAGAACTTCTAAAGTGGGAAGAGATGCGAGTGGGGCCGTGATCAGGGCGTGAATATGACAAGTAGGTGTGTAGAGCCGGGAGGAGTTGTCAGTGATTGCAATCATGCCTCAACCATGGCAAATTTCAGTTAAGGGCTCTGCACAACTCAAGCCTAACCTGGAATTCCTGACTTGGATTTAGTGACAAGCTGTGTTGTGAAAAGGGAAGCACAGAGTGGTCAGGGCTGGGGTTGCACCATTGCAGGCTTAGTGTAAGGATCATACATCATAAATGTCCAACACCTGCTGGAATTCCTGGCACACAGTAAGTACTAAATAAATCACAGTATTGTTTGGCACTTCATTAGGTTACAGGAAACTGCCTTGCTTAGGTAAAATGAAGGCAAGGGTGACTCATCTCCAAATATAGGGATGAAAAAGAAAGGTATAAAGCCCTGATTGGGAAAAGCAGAATCAGGCTGGAGAATAGTTAATTCCTTAGTTACTGAACTTCCTCTTCTGGGGATGCGTGGGGAGAGGCAGCACCATCCACAGCACTATGGGAGAGTCACGGGTCTTGCTCCAGATCACTTGGCCATTAAGAGCAGGGCCCTCCATGTGAAGCAGCCCCAGCCTGACAGGCTTGTGGTTTTCATCACAGGAGCCCAGAGATATGGTTCCACTCTGAAGCTGTAATTGTTCTGTTTAAGCTTTTTGATCATTAACAGGCCCGGGGGTGGAAGGTGTGTGTACTATGTGATCTGGGAGATGGGTCTAGTGAGAGAGGCCTCAGTACTGCCTACAGGCTGCTCCAAGACATGCCCAAGAGCCCTCTGCAGCCTGTACTGTAATTATTGTAGCTGCTCCAGCCCCAGAGTCCCACTGGCAAGTGATTTCACATGTAATTATCCTTGAGACCAGAAAGACTTTGCCCATCCTCCTCCCAGCCCTTCTTCCTCCCACTTCTTTTATTCTCCTTCACTTTCTACATTCCATCTTTCTTTCCCTTCATCTCCAAAACAAGTCCATAACGTCCACATCGGGATGCAGAGGAGTCAACCTCAAGGTCACCTTCTTCCCTGTCCTGGGGCTGCTCTGTCTTTGGGAGCAGCCTGTCATGTTCCCTGACATCATCAAAGAAAACCCAGATAATGACATTTCCCTCTACCTTCCTCCAGACAGTACTCTGACTTTCTATCTTTAGATCAACTGTTTCTTCCTAAAAGCTAATCCCGGGATTGGGGAGGGAATACAATTACTGCTGGGGGAACCTGAGCAAAACGCTGGCCCAGATAGGTCAAATGGCTGTGACATGTCCAGGATACTAATTACTTAACTAAAAACTAGTACATCATACCCCTGGTGAGGAATTTAGACTAGGCACTATGCTAAACGTTTTATATTGCATAATTGTATTCAATCCTCACAATAACCCTATAAGGTAGGTGCTATTATTAGCCATGTTATGTAAATGAGTAAAATGAAAGGTTAGATAACTTCCTCTAGTTCAGGTCACCAACAAGTAGCTGGGACTCCAAATCAGCCTGTCTGATAACAAGGCCACATATTTAATCATGCTGCTCTATTACCCCCTGTGTATATATGGGCTTCCACTCACATCGCTGCTTTCACACTTCTGTTATTGGTGATTTTATTGTGGCAATGATGAGGCAAACTTCTGTCTTGAACTCATCAAGACAGTGATAGGATCATCAAGCAGTGATAGGAGGGTAGGAGGCAAACCCGGACATGAACTCAATGCCTCCTACCCTCCCATCACCGCTGCTCTCCTCTTGTCACAGACAGCCATAGCTTGGCTGCCCTTAGGTTGGCCTTGACATCTTCAGCTGTGCCCCAGCCAGGCCTGCCTCTCTTTGCAGAGGAAAGCAGGTAACATGCCTGCATTTTGGGATAAGCAGGTAACACACCTGTAGCTCAGGACAAGCTTTAAGGCACCGAGGAACTCCAGAGGGAAAGGGGATTTGGAGAATAGGCCCTTTTTTGTCTCCCTAGTCACAAAATGACTCTTAACTATACAGTGGGTCCTTGTTTTCCATGGCCTAGAGTTCAGCCATCGAAAAGGTCAAAAAGCAGAAATGAGCAATGCAGTTCATGGCTGCCCCTGCCTAGGCTGGAACTTCTGGGCAGTTGTTTAAGAACTATCTGGCCAGGCGCGGTAGCTCATGCCTGTAATCCCCGCACTTTGAGAGGCTGAGGTGGGTGGATCACGAGGTCAGGAGTTCAAGACCAGCCTGGCCAACATGGTGAAACCCCACCTCTGCTAAAAGTACAAAAAATTGGCCAGGCATGGTGGCAGGTGCCTGTAATCCCAGCTACTCAGGTGGCTGAGGCAGGAGACTTGCTTGAACCTGGGAGGCAGAGGTGGCAGTGAGCCGAGATCGTGCCACTGCACTCCAGCCCAGGCGACAGTGCGAGACTCCGCCTCAAAAAAAGAAAAAAAAAAAAAAAGAACTATCAAGGAACCAGGGCTATGGAGATTGGAAGATAGAAGAGGAGGCCATTATAACAGCTGTAATGAAGTAACAAAACAGATTGGGGTATGTGGCTTAGAGAAAGTGGCCATTTATTTTTCAACCCTCATCTACTTGCAAACAGGAATTCAAAAGGTTTACAATTGGAACCCCTATATAACAAAGTTGTTGAATGAGCTCTGGCCTACTCCTGCCTTGAGAGCTGTGGGTCAGCGTCCTGAGGGCAAGTAGCACAGAGGTCGCTCTTCTATCAGTCCTTTGGACATAATTGTGAGGCCCTTGACTTGCTATGGAATGCTGGAGTAGGCATTGTGCAGGTTGTATGTATTAGTTTCCTATGGCTGCTGTGACAAATCGCCACAAACGTGGTAGCTTAAAACAGTAGAAATGTATTCTCCCCAACAGGTCTGGAGGCTAGAAGTCCAAAATCAAGGTATCAGCAGGACTGATTCCTTCTAGAGGTCCGAGAGGAGAATCTGTTCCATGCCTTCCTCCAAGCTTCTGGTGTTTCCTAGCAATCCTTGGAGTTCCTTGGGTGCCTCACTCCATTCTTTGTCTTTGTCATCACATGGCCTTCTTGTAAGGATACCAGTCATAGGATCTAGGGCCCATTCTAATCTAGTATAACCTCATCATAACTATTAATGGTTACACCTGCAAAAGCCCTATTCCCAAATAAGGTAGTATCCTGTGGTTTGGAGTAGACATACATTTGGGAGGAGGAAGGACACTATTCAACCCAGTACAGCTTGCCAATGGCATTTTGGGCAGATCTCACATAAAAGAAATGAAAGAATTTGGGTTCCTCAAAAGGAGGACTCGAGTAAACCTGGGCTACTGGTTTCCAGTGGCGTGGGCAGTGGGAAGCAACACCTCCCTGAGCAGTATTCATGTCAGACTACATTGCACAGAAATGAAGCCCAAAGGAGCAAAGAAAGTCATGCAGAGAATTAAGGCAACTTCCCCCAAAACTCAGAAAGAGCAGGCACACTTCCCACATCCCGCCAACACCTCCACCAATTCATGAGCATCTTACCAGAGAAATCTTAACCAGAGAAATTGGAGCATCTTAACAGAGAAATGTGAACATCTTACCTGAGAAATTCAAATGATGAATTTGCAGGGGAAGTGTGCCACTCTGTCAATCAATCTTATACCCTCTCCCCACAAGACAACATAGAAAACAGGCAAACAACAACAACAACAAAACAACAACAACAAGTTCAGTCTTTTTTTTTTTCCCTCTCCCTTCTAACCCCCAGGAGGGCTGGAAAGACCAAGGGATTTAGCCATGAGAAGAAAGGGGAGCTCTCTCAGCCTCCTACACACCCAAGAAAAATCCTGGGCAGACAGATCTGTATGGCAAAGAGCAGTGCAGGACCAAGAGAGCCCTCAGTTCCCCCAGAGTGGGCCCGTTCTGTCAGTGAGGACTCATTTCAGAGGCATTCGGAAAAGTGCTGTGCAGAACTGCGTCCAATCTGGGCTAAGCAGATTAGTTTCCTCCCAGGGAAAGGTTCTGGGCAGCTGAGCAGGGCAACTCCCTGTAGAGTGGCAGGGGGCTGTCATTACAAGGCCCAGATAGGACATAATTACATGCTCCCTGGAGAGAAGGCTTAATTGAATTACAGGGTGTCTCCTGAGCATCAAAGGCAGCCCAGGCTCAGAGGTAGCTGAGCAGCACAGAAACACCCTCTGAAGAGCTGGTGCCCAGGCAGGCGTCAGGCTGTGGAGAGGCTCAGAGTTGCTCAGAGGGCTCTGTGGATATTGCTGAAGCTGGGACAGGAGAGGAGGAAGGGCTGAAGAATGCAAAATGGTGGGTGCTCCCTGGTCCTTACACCTGAGAGCCCAATTCCAGTCCCAGGTGTCCCTGGGCTTGCTGCAACCTGGTGTGGCACATAAGCAGAAGAGGTTCCAGGAATTCACTCATTCATTCATTCATTCATTCTGCAGGCATAAATTGTGTCCTGGTGGTGTGTGAGGCACCTTTACTAGAAATGGGGAAGAACCGGGTGCTGCTCTGGTCTAAGGACACAGCTTGCATGGGGATTTACTTACTCCTGAGGCCACCTTATACTTCCATCTGTGTGTGCCCCACAAGCTGAAGCTAATTCATCATTCCTGCTTAACAAGTCCTTCTGAATTGACTGGAGGAGGGGGTTGTGCAAGTCACTTCTAATGACGCCAAACTGAATCCCTGACAAAAAAACAAGAAGGGGGTGTTGCCTCTGTATGGCCACAGCCCTCAGTGGTTCCCCCTTCTATAGCAGCTAGCACATATGCTTGTCTTCCCTATCAACTGTGACCTCCCTGAGGACAGGGACTGTGCCTTTCTTCCCTGTGCTTAGCCCACAGTATGAGCTCCCCAAATGTCTGCCGATTATACATTGAGCGATAGACACTCACCCCTCTGCCTCCGCTCTCCTGTTGCTTCTGTCCTCCTTGGTCAACAGGGCTGGCATAGGCTCTCCTGGGGCTGCAGCTGAGCCCCTCCTGCTCTCATCTCATCACTGCCCCGTCTAGCCCTTGATCCTGGCTGCCCTCGGACACCATGGACATGGCATCAAAGGAGGTCCCCTGATCTGAAAACATGGTCCTGAGCCAGCCTCGCCCTGTTACCCAGGCAGCCGGCCAAAGCATCATCTGTCGGTAGTTGCTGGTGATGAAGTGACACAAACAAGAATCCTCTGCAGACCAGCTCAGGTGAGGGTGGGTTGGAGCCAGCAGTCAAGGATGGTGAATCCAGATTTCTGAGCTGGGCATTAAGGACTTTATTTGGCCCTTGCCAAACTCCCTGGGCCCAGTTACCCCTATGTTAAAAGGAAAGAAGCCAACTCCTTAAAGAAGAAACGTAGAATGCATTCTTAACTTCCTACATATGAGGAAAAGGGAGCCTGCTACTTCCAGCTTCATAACCTTATTCTCATGCTAAAATATGTAACACAATAGAAAGAATATGCAGTTTAAAATCAGAAGATCTAGGGCTAAAATTTTTTTGTATTTTTATTATTAAAGAAATGCATGCTCATGTTAAACATTTAAAAGTGCACAAAGTGTAAAGTAAAAGATTAAAAGTTGTCTTTCCACCATTCGGACCGTCAGTCTCACTTCCCAAAAGAAATCACTCTTAGAGGTTCTTAACAATGCATTAATACAACATGCAGCCTTTCCACTCCACACCCAGCTGAACAACATATATGGCTCCCAAAGCCAACGCACAAGTGAGAATGGCTGCCTCTGCTAACCACTTGCCATGCTGGGTGCAAAATCTTTCAAAGCAAAAGGCCAGAGAAGTACCATGCAGTAGGAAAGGTATAGTCTGCTTAGGACTTAGTTCTTTGCACTTTTTCTCATCTGTACATATTTACTTCTTATTGCACTTTTTCAAGCACAATCTTATACTGTAATTTTATCACACCCTTAGATATAATTTAAAACATTATTCTTAATGGTTACATATGTTTTGTAAATACACTGAAATGATTTTTTTCCTTTTATTTTTAGTTGACACATAATAATTATACATATGTATGGATACAGAGTGATATTTTGACACATGTATACAAAGTGTAATGATCAAATCAGGGTAATTAGCATATCTATCACCTTAAATATTTATCATTCTTTTTTTTTTTTTTTTTGAGACAGAGTGTCACTCTGTCACCCAGGCTGGAGTGCAGTGGCGTGATCTCGGCTCACTGCAACCTCTGCCTCCCAGGTTCAAGCGATTCTCCTGCCTCAGCCTCTTAAGTAGCTAGGACTACAGGTGTGCGCCACCATGCCCAGCTAATTTTTTGTATTTATAGTAGAGACGGGGTTTCACCATGTTGTCCAGGCTGATCTCAAACTCCTGACCTTAGGTGATCCATCCACCTCGGCCTCCCAAAATGCTGGGAATATAGGCGTGAGCAACCACGCCCAGCTGAATATTTATCATTTCTTTGTGAATATTCAGAATCCTGTCTATTTTTTTTTAAATATACACTAAATTACTGTTAACCATATTCACCCTACAGTGCTACAAAACACTAGAACTTACTCCTCTTACATAACTTCACATTGTATCCATTAACCAACCTCTCCCTATCCTCCTTCGCATCCTCTAATAACTACAATTCTACTCTCTACCTTTTTGAGCTCAATATTTTTAGCTCCCACATATGAGTGAGAATATGTGGTATTAGAAGATCAAGGTTTTGATACTTACCCTTAAAACTCTGTGTTCGCGGGTAAATTACTTAATATTTCTTAGACCTAGAATCAAGTGATCATAGTAACCCTAATGGTATGACAAAATCCTTACATCTTTAAAAGTGGAATTCTATGTTTTCATACAAATATTAGAAGTTTTATTATGTAAGAAACATAACAACAATAGTAAGCTTTCTCAGAGGCCTGAATAACAGTGGTAAGGCCCAGGTAACCAAAGCTGTGCCCATTCTTTCCAGCATGTTCTGATCCCCTTACGGAGTTACCATCATCAAAAACAACTTTAAACAATGAGTGCCCAATAATTTCAAAGCATTTTACATCAGTTAAATGTCCTCTGACAGTCAGCCCTTGGCTGTGTTCATTTCTGTCTCTACTCAACCCCCAAAATAGAAAGTTTATATTCTTCCAGCAGTCCACACAGGTTAATTAAAATGTTGTTTCTCTCTGCTTTGGCTATAATTACATTAACTCATCATAATATCACTAGCTATCTTTTGCTGTATTTTATGAGAAAAAATAGAAATCCAATTATCAGCTAATAACCTAAAACATGGGTTCCACAGGGAGGGGCAGACCATGAAAAAGGCCTGCGGTGGGGAGCTGGCTTGAGAACCACCTGTCTAGAGTACAAAACTCACTAGGTTAGCAGTGCTTCTGGAAGATTCTAGTCTGATAAAGAAATTATCTGCTTCACCTGTCCAACAAGAATTTCTGTCCCTGTGGGTTCATCCAGGGAATAGAAAAAGCTTCTGTGTTATATGTAGGATAAAGAAAAGAGAGACTCAAAAAGGGTTTTCTTATTAGGATTGGCCCAGTATTGAAGAAATAGTGACAATAATTTCATTCTTATGCATCTCAGTGAAATGGAGACTCCTAGTTTCTTCACTCCATGCAGTTCTTTCTATCTTGAATCCCAGGACTAGGATTGGCAGATATTTGGCCTTTTCTTCTCACATCTACAACTGAGCGCAGATACAGCCTCACAAGTCCTTTCCAAGATGGCCCCCTGGATGGCCACTACTCATTGACTGGAGCTGACACAAAAGGACGGTCCCTATTTTCCACCCCAGTCCTATGCAATGGGACATGAGCACCTGACACAACCATACACTGTGCCACATGTAGATGAGGATACTCCAGCTTCTGGGGATTTCCTGGAAAGGCATCAAGTTTGCAGCTCCTAGGATAAAGAGGGGGTGCCTGCTGGCTCTGGCTGAGTCCAGCAGATCAGCTGTCCAGCAGGGGAGGGGTGGGGAGGGAGAGCCTCAGGAGTACTGTCATTCTATCCCTGGCAGGCATGAATGGCAGGGAAGCTTTCTGTCTTGCTTTACAGCACAGGCTGCTCTGGAAATCCAAACCCAGAAAGAGGCTTTGAAAGTGACTCAGTACCCAAATAGTGTACCTGAAAACGACGGAAGATTATCTTCTGACGCTAGTGTCCTGGAGAGGATAGATCAGAGAAAAAGTAAATGGGAAGAAATGACCCTGGTAGCCTTGAGATATGTGCCACAAGCATCATTCACTAAGAATGTTTTCTGTTGATCTGAGCAGAAGCCAGCTGAATCGTGGCTGCAGAGTCTATAGTGAGCTTGATGCATTTGGGCTGGGGGATTCTGAAGTGGCTATTTCTCCCATTCTCCAGCCTACCGCCCCAGTACAGGCCACTACAAAATCAGTGCTCTCTCTGGGGTGTTGCAGACCTTAGAATGTGTGCCAGTTTGGAGTTGACAGGTGCCTGTCTCACCTGGGACTCCCTTCTAAGTGACTCTGTCTACCACTTATAGATAAAACTGTTTAGATAGCTTATCATGGAATTCCCATGGCAATTTCAATTTCCCACTCCATCATTCAGTTATGACAGACCAGATGGGGAGGGGAAGAGGGTGGGAGAAGGGGGCACTTGACACAGGGCAACCAGCTCATATGTGGTCAGTGGTCTTTGACATGACCAGGTTAAAAAAAAATCAGATTTCTTCTCTTGAAAATTTAAACTAGAAGAATAGAAAGAGCTTTGTGGGTAGGAACAGAAAGCATATATGCAGAGAGGAGCCATGAGCTAGGACTTTGGGGTACCATTGCAAGCTGCAAATAATAAAGAAGCCCATAGAGAGAAGCAGAGATGCCAGGAGACAGAAAACATGTCACCCAGGAGGGAGAGCACTGGAGACAGAAAGCGGTCTCTAGAGCTACCTCAGTCCCCAATGGCTTTCTGATGCCAGTCCCAATCTGTGCTGCATCCTTACAATTAAACCCTCTCGTTTTCACATACAGGCAGACAAACACTTCATAGTGAAGGCAAAAAGAGCACCACCATGAGTGGTTTGTTTCCTGGGAGATATCAGTCTTCCTGGTGCTATCATGAAGCTAGTTCGTTCTGGCTAAATGACAGGCTTTCTTAAGGGATCCTTTCATGGCACCTTCTTGATCATGCAAAGAAATCATAGATCAGAGAATAGACTGAAAGCAACCCAAGCACAGATGCCAATAGTGTGAAGGAAAAGACTATCTGGAGTAGGTTAAGATTTAAAGTGGAGACATGGCAAAAGGAATTGAGAAGGGAGGTGCTGAGTGCAAGGAGGAATGAAAGGAAACCCAGCATTAGCCTCTGCAGCACCTAGAGCACAAATAGAGAAAAAGTGGATGCAGCAAAGAATGTTTAGAAGAGACAGCAAATGTAAGAAAATAGTGTACAAACATGAAGTAGGGTGTAAGAATGGAAATAATGTGAACAACAATGAAGATCCGCAGCCAGGGCTCGGTTAGCCCTTGTGATGGTGGCAGAATACATCTGCATCCCCACAACTCAGAAAGACGTTTGGAGATAGAAGTGGGGTTGGTGAAGGTCATGTGGAATACATGGGGAGAAACCTAAAAGGTCGACAAATCAAGACCAAACAGCCTGGCAGAAGATGGACTGGTATGGAGAGATGGCAGTAGTAGTCATCCATAATCGACAATTTGTTTTGCAGCCATATTTGGAATATTAAGTTACTATTTGGATGTCACTTATTTTGAAAGTACCAACTAAAGAACCTACAATAGAGTGGTTTCTATACACTCCACAAATAACTGCTTCTTCATGAACCCTACCCACCAAAAGGTAACTGAATTGGGTCCAGGCAGAGTTAGTCAAGTTGCACCTATGTATGTTAATCCTTAGCTAGGAAGAGTAAGGATGGTTCCAAAATGACAACTGAACTTATATATATACACATATCCAGTTTTCAGAAAAACATATTTTTTCCATAATAAGTTCCACCACATTCAACTTTAAATTCTCCTCTGCTTATCCAAGTAATTTCTTACTTGGGTCCCCAGTAAGTGGTAGGAGTGGAAATATAATTCCTATGAATGATAACTCTCATGCCATCTGAAAATATTTGTCTAGTGCTTTCCTCCATGGTTATTTAGCAAAATCCTCAAAGCATTTGATTCTTGCAAAATGCTTCTAGAATGTGCAGAATTTAAATATGGGGCCGTGCTCTATTTGCAGATCAAGGAGCTCTCTTTCTTCAACTAACAATTATATGTCACTGGCTCTATGCCAGGTCTTCAAACTTTCTCAAACTGGGTTCTGGAAGCACAGCTTAGTTTCTCTTTTAAAAACCAACAATAAGGGGCCAGGTGCAGTGGTTCATACCTGTAATCCCAGCACTTTGGGAGGCCAAGGTGGCTGGATCACCTGAAGTCAGGAGTTTGAGATCAGCCTGGCCAACATGGCAAAACCCCGTCTCTACTAAAAATACAAAAATTAGCCAGGCATGGTAGCATATGCCTGTAGTCCCAGCTATGCAGGAGGCTGAGGCATGAGAATCGCTTGAACTCGAAAGCAGAGGTTGCAGTGAGCTCAGATTATGCCACTTCACTTCACTCCAGCCTGGGCAACAGAGCAAGACTCTGTCAAAAAAAAAAAAAACAAAAAAAACCCAAACACAAAACACTAAGGAAACATCTTGAATAAGTGAAAGACCACAGCTCTGACCTCTTCTACCTTCCTCCTGGAGTTGACAGGGCCTAGCTAAAGGGTGGAGAAGGAATGAGTGTTCATGTCCCATCCAAAAACCTTTGGGAAGTTGATGAAAAGTTGGACAGCCAGAAAGAGTCCTCCTCATTTACCTGCCTTGCTTTGCTCACCTTGCTGTCATTCTTTTGAGTGGATGAGGAAACTGGCCTTAAGACCCAGAAGAGTCCAGAGAAAGTAAGCTACGCCCATGGCAGGATCCCCACCTGTATCCCCTTATTATTGTTGCCTGAAGCTCCAATTAGCACCTTCCCAAGCAGTGCCCAGGAGAGCCTGCTTTGAGGATGAGACCCATTCATTTTTGAAGTGGCCATTCATGTGATCATCTCCAACCACAGTGTGTCTTTTTTAACCCATGCTGACATTCTCCCCGATGTGCTCTCCAACTCTGCACCTCTGAGTTTTCTCATACTATCAGCCCTTCACATCCATGGGCTCCACCAACCGCAGGTTCCACCAACCAACTGTGGGTGCCACGGGTAGAAAATATTTGAAAAAATAAAACATAAAAAAGGATAATACAGCAATAAAAAACAATACAAATAAAAAAAGCAATACATTAAAACAACTATATAACATTTACATTGTATTAGGTATTATAAGTAATCTAGAGATGATTTAAAGTATATGGGGGGCTGGACGTGGTAGCTCACGCCTGTAATCCCAGCTTTTTGGGAGGCCAAGGTGGGCGGATCACTTGAGGTCAGGTGTTTGAGACCAGCCTGGCCAACATGGTGAAACTCTGTCTCTACTAAAAATACAAAAAGTAGCCAGGCGTGGTGACATGCGTCTGTAGTCCCAGCTACTTAGGAGGCTGAGGCAGGAGAATTGCTTGAACCTGGGAGGCAGAGGTTGCAATAAGCGAGTGACAGCCTGGGCGACAGAATGAGATTCTGTCCCGAAATAAATAAATAAATAAAGTATATGGGAGAGAATATGCCTAGGTCATATGCCAAATACTGTGCCATTTTATACCAGGTACTTGAGCATCTGAGGATTTTTGGTATCCTCGGAGTAGTTCTGGAATCAATCTCTTGTGGATATTGAGGAATTATTATTCTGGAGAGCAAACCAATGTGAGCAGACCAGGGCAGGGGCACTGGATACTCTGCTGCACATGGTGTGGGACTGACTTAGGTAGGAGAATTGCTGATCCAGTGTTGTCAGGGGATACCGCATGCCTAGTCCCTAAAACAAATTAACCAGGAGGGCTCTGGACTTCCTGGAGAGTTTTGCAGATGTGATAGGGTCTCCACAGAACTTGGGGTGTTTTATGGATCCTGGAGTTGGAATATGTCATGCTTTGACATATTCTTTGACAGTCTCAGTAATTAAGAAGAAAAGAGACAAAAAAAAAAAAAGACATTTCATCATGACCTGGGGCCCTTCGGGACACAATAGCTAAAGCTTCTGCTAAAAAGTTTACATAGCATGGTCGGGCACGGTGGCTCACGCCTGTAATCCCAGCACTTTGGGAGGCTGAGGCTGGTGGATCACGAGGTCAGGAGATCGAGACCATACTGGCTAACATGGTGAAACCCCATCTCTACTAAAAAAAAAAAGTATAAATATATATTAGCCGGACGTGGTGGTATATATATATATAAATATAAATATATATGTATAATATATATATATTAGGCCTAGCTACTCGGGAGGCTGAGGCAGGAGAATGGCGTGAACCCGGGAGGCAGAGCTTGCAGTGAGCCGAGATGTGCCACTGCACTCCAGCCTGGGCGACAGAGCGAGACTCCATCTCAAAAAAAAAAAAAAAAAAAAAAAAAAAAAAGTCTACATAGCCTTCAATTATTCCTTTGGGCCTGGAAAGTGGGCAATTGTGGTTGAACAATCCTACTGGAAATGCCTCACTGTACTGCTAAGTATCCCCATTCAACAACTGGCTCAGAAATGGAGTCCCTTCTTCAAGACAAATCTGTGCCAAGTACACAGCTCCACTGAGGATTTCAGGAAGCCACAGTTGTAGTGGCTGACTGTCTACCTAAAGAGAAGGAGGACTTTTGCTACTGCCACTGAAGGCAGAAGGAAAGAGAAAGAGAGGGATGTTGGCCAAGGGAGAGATGTCACCACCTCTACTTGACTCTCATCCTCCATGAGCTTGCAGTCTTGTGACTCTCTCAAGCACAGAAAGGGTATTCTAGAGGCAAATCATCTCCCTCTGTGGCCAGAAAGAGACTATCTTAAAACCTTGCTAAGCCAAAGAAAAAGAAAACAAAAAATCGATTGTGTTTTAGTTAAATTGGAGAATGTGCAAATTGTATCCTGGAACACTCCAGATTTTTATAGATTTTTACAGAAAGATTTCTTGGGGTTAAAACATTACAGAGAAAGCATCCCTGGAAGGGAATGGTCTGCATTATTTTGAAAATTTTTATTATTTCATGGAACAAGGCCTAGCCTGAAGTTCACCAGCACTGCCTAAAAGATGTTCCAACTATGCCTGTCACCTTTTCTCAATTCAGATAGAGAAAGACTTTTTAAAAAATTTCCGTGGGCTATTTTCCTTCCTGAACAGTTCAAGGTGAAACAAGAGATTAAAACTAGTCCATAATATATTATTATTCTTAGTTAAGACATTAGTCACATAATACTCCCGGACTCACACTTCCAGAGCATCTTTTACCCAAGAATTGCCATATTCTTTTTGAAGTTAACATTTTATTGATGGATAAAAGTAAAATGGAGAAGCCTAAGATGGGAAAGGGCAGAGAGAACATTGAATAAGCAGCTTCTAAAGTCCTTTCAAACCCTCACTTTCTAACGTCCTTTCCAACTCTAACTTTCTATCATAGCTAGCCATGTAATCTTGGATAAGTTACCTTCCCTTTCTGAATTTCATCTTCATAATTTAAAAAATGGGAGGTCAGATACCTTCGAGCTTTAACATTCTGATTTGGTTGGAGAACGTGCAGCACAGCCAACATGCTTTTTTTCTTTGAAGGAGGCCTGCACTATTTAATTATAATAGATCTTGGCATTTACATATTTGACATCTGTGGCTTTGACTATTCCCAGAGGCATCAAAGGTCCAAGAGCTGCAATAATCTGTTATTTTGCAAAGGCGTGCTGAGAGCCTGGGATATAGGAGCCAGTCACTTGTTTAATGAGTGAAATTAGTGTGCGGGCAGAACCCATACCTCTGTGAGGTTTTGTCATTGCATGCTACAGTCTTAAAGGCCATAATTCTCAAGAAGTGACTATAGTGATGGTTGCAAAGGTGAGGATTCTTCTGGATCATGAAGACATCAATAATATCCCTCTTAAATGTTAAGGTTTCATTGTAATATGGATGTAAATTAATCATGTACCTATCCCCACTTCACCTCTGTCACTACTAAGTCCTTAATGAAGGTTAATTTAGAATCCTCAGTGGTACCACACACATTGCAGGGAGCTCTCATTGCTCCTTTATTCAATCCATCTCAGCCATACCACTTCTCTCACGTTCCTTGATTTGTCTGTACCCTTTGATCCTCTCCACTTGACAGTAAGATCCTTGAGCGCTGAAATGTCAGCTTGTCTTATTCACTTATTTAACCCCAGTGCCTAGTAATGTAGCTAGTACATAGCAAATATCTAACAAATGTTTGTTGAATGACTGAACACCATCTACGAGAAGGCACTGTGCATTTTTCTCATACTTATATTTAGTATTCCCTTGAAGGATAGAGAATATTATTTCTGTTGTCCAACAAAAACCTGGTACTCAGAAAAGTGATGTGACTTGTTAAAAGTTACTGGTAAGTGATGGATTCACATCTGCTTTCATATTCCAAAGCTCGTGCTTTTCCATTCTTCCATGCTGCTAAAAGCACCTTTGAAGAAGTAAAGCATAAAACCAAACATGTGAATTCGTGGATCCTATATTATTGATAGAGCACAGGCCTGGCCTCAACTTGATTATATTTAGGGGAGTATAGTGAGGGCAGATTTTCAATACTACCAGGCTTGGTAGGCAAATAAAGCTATACAAAGAGGGAGAGATTAGAAAGCAGATGTTCCAACTTTGTCCAAGTACCCTGAAGCTATCCATTTCGGTTTCCAGACTGGTGTGGCAATTAGCACAGCCTCTGGTTCTTGCTAAATTGGCGTTGAAAGTTGGAATTAAAGAGCAAACAATCATTATTCAATTAAGCAAGTTGTCTGAAAAACCACTTCTTTGCTGGGTCTCCTGGTTTGGTCAAGAGCTTCAGAACCTTTCACCTCTAAGTTGGGGCCCGCAGCATCCAGAACTTGTTAGAAATGCGGAATCTCAATCCCTCCCCTAGACCTCCTGGATCCTAATCTGCCCTTCAGTGAGATCCCTGGATGATTGAGCAACACATTAAAATTTAAGAACCATGACTGCAGAAGATATTCTAAGGTCCTTTCTAGCTCTAATATTTTATGAGTTTAGGTAAGTACTCTTCATAGTAACCCCAAACTGGCATGCTCATTACTTAGGGTCACACAAAGAGCCAAGTAACCTAAACAACTCCACAGTGTCTTCTGAAGAATATTGTTAATTCGTCAATATTACTATGAAGAGTCTTGTTTCCTGAGCATATACCGTGTACCAGGTACACCGCATACAATACCTTGAATCGTCATAATGGCCCTGCAAGAGAGATATTATTATCCCCATTTTGCCAATGAGGAAATAATTTCATAGGTTAATAAAATTTCCCCAAACTACATTATTAAATCAGTAGTGGAGCCAGAATCCTAACCCAGAGTACTTAGAACCCACGATTTTTCTGCTCCGTAATACTGCCTCTAGTTGTAAAATTGCAATTTAAAATATCAAGAATAGGGGTGCCACGTGAGAACAGATGAGCAGGTTTTGGACTCATTATTCTGCAATGAATGAAGTCTAAAAAATAAATGAAAAGGGATGGATGGGAACATAGATTTGTTCACCAAACCCTAGAATATCTAGACCAGAATTCTCAAGGTTGACATACCTTTAGAATGAGTATTACCCAGAAGTGATCATTTGCGAGGCTCATTTGCACCAAGATATTATACAAACTGAAAACGCAAATAAGTTTGAGGAAGGTTTAGTCGTATTCAGAGACCCTAGGTGCATAATTGATTATTAATAGAATGAGGAAATTAATAGAATGAACTAAGCCTCTGATCTCTGAAAAACTACCTATCCGTGACATGGGTAGAAAGGGTTCTGAATCAGAAGAACCACAAGTCCGTCAAATTATGGCAAATTTTGTGGTCTTAATGTCATTTAATGCCTTACCATATCTTCTTCCACACTGACATCGCGATAATCATGTGAAATTCCATGGAGTTTGTTTTCCCAGTGAAGCCCTGTCCTTCATTTGTATGTATAAACACTCTCCCCAGAGTACATATAAATGGATAGTATTCTCCAGAAGGCACAGGTTTCTACTTACGTTAACAAATGATTATCCTTCCCAGCAAAATGACTAAACAGAGCTCTAATAAATCAATTTGTCAATGGCCATTTCCCTTCAGGAGACAATATCCCCTGATCCATTTTTGGCAAGTGCGAATATGACCTACACTGAGTGCTTATGTCTATGGTTCAGAAAATCTTAGAGCTGGAAGGAACTGCAAAAAGGACTGACCTTGCCTCCAGGCAAGGAAAGTATTGTTATTCCCAGTTTGCATATCAGAAAGTTAAGTTCCAGAACCAATAAATGACCTGCCCCAAGTCACATTATTAAGAAGGGATTGAGTAAGAACAGATGCAGGATCCCCCGGGTCACTCAGTTCTGTCACCAGCAGTGCCCAGCTCTTTTTGAGCTCTGTCTCATGGCTGGACCTGGGCAGAAGCACTCCTAGGACACCTCTCCCTAGCTTCTATGGCTCCCCACTTTTCCATGAGTTCCTTCCTCCTCCTCTTCTAGAGGTTGTATGGCTTCATTTCTTACTGAAGGTATAATTAGCAGGTTCTTGAAACAGACACCCCACACACACAACTTCCTATATGCTCCTTTTACTCTTCACACCATCTCCTGCCACGCTTATTATTTGTGGATATGTTCAGTCATTCAGAGGAAGTTCCCGTTTGTCTTCTCCAACCTTCTAGGCCACCCAAGAAAGTCTACTTTCTCATAAGCTACAAATCCTGAGGAAAGTCATTCTGCTTTCCCTTTTAAAGCTATCCAACTGGAAAAAGGACAGAATAACCAATTTGCAAGAGGGTTCAATGGGCAGAGGCCTTAGGGTAATAGAGGTGACAGAAGTGTAATACCCACAGTTTCTGAAGGGCTGAATGGGGCAGTAGCCCAAGAAGAGGTACTTCAGGAGAGTCCTAGACTGTGAAAAGAGAGGACCACACAGAAGATATATTTCCTCCCACAATTCCTAGGATGTTTCTCCTTCACTGCTTCACCAGATTTTGGAGCTTAGACCTGTGACTAAAGACAAGTAGCCACTGCCCTGGGAGCTCTGCTTCTCCAAGATACTTTCCAGTATCCAAACCATACTGACTCAATTCAACTAGGCTGGGCAAGCCTCACACCATTAAATAGTCTATGGTCATTTAAAAAGATTGCTAAATTTCTATCAATTTTGCAATTTCCAAATTAAAGAAGACGTGCCTGGAATCTGGTTACACAGTGAGACTGGCAATATAGTACCAGGGAACAAAGCCAATGCCACTTGTTTTCTTTAGAATGTTCTGATGGGCTATTGCTGCCCAGAATGGAAAGGATTGGTTTCAAAGCTCATAGATACCCTTCATATGAGGAAGGGAGGAAGAAGAGGCCCAAGCAGTTCTCTAGTCCTTCTTAGTCACAAGAATTCTCCAAAATCTGATATCACAAAACTTCTGTCATCCCACAGCTCCACCAGCTATCATTTTGTGTTTCAGAGAAGAAAATGTTTTGTGTCCTTAGCTCTTGTCACAGGATTCCTTGCCCAGAAACAATTTAAAGTGAGAAAACTGAAGAAGAGTTTGGAAGCAGAACCTGTCCAGTGGTGTCTGCTGATCCTGCATACCTGTGATGGAACCAAAGTTTGACATTAACACAAACACAAGGAAATGTTGTAAAGTGCAGTACAGAAAGACAGAAAGAGATGGCAAAAGATGGGGTCAGGGAGGGGCAGAATACAGGAAGGTTACTTACACAGTTTCATCATTCTTGAATTCCAACTCCCCATATGTGTCTTCAAAGTCCTCACCGCCACCCTTGGCTGTCCCTTCTACTGTCCTAAAGGGGACGATGACTGTACCCCGGGCACCTGATGTCCGCAGAACCTTGACCTCCATAACACCAATACTCTCACTGACATGAATAGTATCACATTCAAAAGTGAAGATGCCTGCATGGTCATCATCCAAGATGGTAACTGTGGCCACACAAGGGGAGGCTAGGACAGCCCGAGGCAAGGGAAGACTGTTGAATATTGCTGGAGGCATCCCCTCCTCTGGCTGCTCCTCCTCTATGCGGACATTGCTCAACCTTACAAAGAAGTGTTCATCCTCCTCAAAAATGTCGTCATCAATTATGCCCACGGAGAACTCCTTCTGGGTCTCTCCTGGCTTCAGAACCACCGTGCCCTCTGTGAACTCATAGTCAGCCCCTGCATTGGCAGAACCATCCTCTGTTTTGTAGTCCACATACATGGTCTTTGACATGTCTCCCCCTTTCCTCACCACTGTCAGGAGTACAGCCCCACAGTTCTCCAGGCACTGGTAAGAACATGGGTCAAAGAAGACCTTGGAAATAAAGTCCTCAGGCTCATCGGTGTGCACCTCGCTCATGCTGGAGGCCTTCTTGGCTTGTTCTGCTGCATGTTTCTTCAGGATATTGCCTGCACCAGTCATCATACGAGTGGCTTGGATACGGTAGAAGGCACGGCTCTTCTGTTGGTGGGAAAGAGCATAGTAATTGGCCATCTCCACCAGCTGATCTAAGTCCTTCTCTGGGTGTTTTTGCTTCAGATCCTTGAGAATCCGGATCATCTCTCTGCGGGACTCATCCACTTCCTTCCCTTCCAGGGGCACCAGGTTCCCATCTAGAAAATGGGAATTCATCATTTTCCCATCCATCTCAATGCCCTTAGGGTGGTCACCCTCTGTCTCTATGATAATTCCTCGGTGTTTGTCTGTGCGGTACTTTTTGTGCATGTATTTGTAGAAGAGCAGTCGTTTATCTGCCACCCAGGCCAGAAGGACACACACTGGAAAGAAGAAGAGAGTGAGGAGGCCTTCCCAAACCTGGACCACACCAGGGGAGAAGACTGCCAGAATCATATAGAGCCAGATGTAGGCAAAGATACTCCAAGCAGCGGTGATGAAGAAGACTCGTAGATGCTTGATCTTGCGAGTCTCTCCGTCTGGGATCACGTAGACACAGATGCCAATGATGATGAACATGTTGAAGGCTGCACTCCCTACAATGGTAGAAGGTCCCAGATCACCAGCAATGAACCCATGACCACACACCTCAATTAAAGAGAGGAGTATCTCAGGAGCAGAGGAACCCAGGGCCATAAGGGTCAGGTTGGAGACAGTTTCATTCCAGACCCGAATAGTGGTTGTGCTGGTTTCTCCATTGGGTTTCTTAATTGTCACCTCCCTCTCTTGAGAGGTGATGACTTCAATAGATGCCATGAAGCGGTCAGCAATGATGGACACCCCAAGGAACATGTATATCAGGGCCACAAAATAGACAATGACCCTGGCAATCTTGTCCCCAAGGGAAGGGTTCTCCGGGTACCAGATTGGCAGGATGACACCCTCCTTGCAGTCCGATGACCCTGAACAGGACTCATTGTTCTGCCCTGTGCTTGGCACGTCCCCTGAGCCACCAGCCTCTGCTCGAAGACCATTCAGGAAGAGCACAAAGGTAACCAGCCCAAAATGGAGGAAGGCAGAGGTGAGAGGCTGCAACCTTAACCACGCCATACACGAGACTTAGCCACTGGCTTCTATTGCAGCACCAGTTGTCCTCCTGATAGGCCAGAGACCTAGAAAAGATCAGAGAGGCAGGAAAAGGCATGAGGAAAAAGGGGACAGCAAACGGCAGGTTCCCACCAATACAACTGATGCTTCACCTCCAGTGACATATTGCACTAACATATGGGGCAGTCTCTCACTTGGAAAAATAGATGTCAATGGGAGGCACAAATAGCTGCTCTGTCCTCCAAACCATCTGGTGGAGACTCCGTTGAAAAATGGCTTGAAATAGCTGGGAATACTGGGGATGGAAATGCAGCAATAGCCTTCAAGTCCTGTCTCCCAAACTGGTATTACCTGTGAGAGTTCTCAAGAAGCAACTTAAAATAGGCCATGTATAACCTGAATCTTCATGCCCATTTATACTGTTTCTGGGGTGTTCGGACTTCCTTACCCTGTTGTCATTATACTTGAGTATCTTGGATAACATAGGTTTGCAAGAGAGTATATTGAATTGAATTTTCATGGACTAGTCCCCAGAAAATTGAAAACCTTGCTCTGTTTAATGTATACATATTTCCTTGGCCTTCATGTTCACTCCAGGATTATACCAAGTGACTGTCCACCCCAGGACCTTTGTACATGCCATTATTCTCAATCGATTTTGAAATGAGTGTTTCTTCTTTGCACTCCCCACTCTTAATAATGCTTTAGATCTCATCCATTAAACAGAGCAATAAACCTTGAAAACTGAGCTCCCTTGGAAAGAAACTTCCTCCCCGAATGCAAGACTTCTGGAGGCAAGCTATAATTCTGAGATAGCTTGGGAAATCAAAAGAGTTGATAAATGGTGAATGCCACCCACCCCATAGCCAAACAGAGGCCATGTAAGTTGTGCCCAAGACCAAGTTCACAGCAGCTCTGAGCCCTCCAGTAAAACCTGCTTATGAGCAGTTTAAGCAGGCAGTAACAGGAAGATGATCATCCGCCAGCCACTCAAATTTCAAACCCAAACATGGAAAGGAACAAGTGGTAAAAATCATTATTAATAAAACATGCAAATGTCTCTCAAATAAGTTTTGTTAAACTAGAGACAAGATTTTGGGGGTGATATGCAGCTTCATCTACTGGCCTCAAACCACTAAAAGGTGAGCTTGAGCTCAGAAGAATGGGATGAAATGCAATTGAAACTATTATATACTCATCTTACCACTCACTGCCTCATTTGGGTGGGATGAGAATGAAAATACCATGGAATAGCTAAAAAAAAAAAAAAGTGGGGGGGGGGGCGATCTTTCTCCCTCTGCTACAACTGTGTGGGATACCCTTAGTAATAAAGGAATGCTGATTTGTGTTTGTACAGCACCTTAAAGACTCAAAGTCTTCATCCCCCATATTTGCTCCTTTTTCTCCTGTTTCCCAGCTCAGAAAATAGCATCTTCAGCCACCCAGTTACTCATGTTAGAAAGCAGATGTTAGTCTGAAAGCCTTCATCTCTCTTCTGTCCCTTATCCAATCACTAAATCCTATCAACTCTTTCTCCATTTCTACCACCATCATCCCAGCCCAGGCCACCATCACTCCTTACCTCATGAATCTACTTCAGTAGCCTCCTAATGGAGCTCACCACTCCAACTCTCACTAGTTCTCAATTCCACTTTCCTCATATAGCCACCGTAATCTTTTTTTAAAAAAACAAACAAACAGACTTAAGCATATCGCTCCCCTGTTTGAAGCCCTTTAGTAGTCTTCTCTTGCTCTTGATATAAAGACCAAATTCTTTCCCATGACCTTCAAAGCCTTGCAGGAATTCACTGCTTCCCACTCATCCCCCTTCATCCCGTCACTCTCTCCCTTATTACATTTCAACAACAATAGCCTTCAGGTTCACTCTTGGATTATACCAAGTGACTGTCCACCCCAGGACCTTTGTACATGCCATTATTCTCATTCATCTTTGAAATGAGGGTTTCTTCTTTGCACTCCCCACTCTTAATAATGCTTTAGATCTCATCCAATAAACAGTGAATGACATAAGAGCAAAGACTGTGTCTCTTCTGTTTATCATGGTATCCTGAATGGTTAGTAGGTTCTCAGTAACTGTATGTTTTTGGAATGAATAAATGTAGTCACCAATGAAGCTTCCTTGGATGACAGCCTTCTTTATTTTTTATCTGAATTGTAGCCATTTGCTTTGGAAATACATATACATTTCATAGACAAAACCAGACTGGATTTTAGAGGCTATGTGGGACCTCTTTAAATTTCCAAAGCCTGTGCTCAAAGAGAAATTCTCTTCGGGACACAAAACATCAGGGTGCATATTGTCCCCATGAAGACCTCCCTCCCAAAGAGCTGAGGATTTACTTGGTTTAATCCCTAGAGTGGCAGCCAAGTTCTGAAGCCCACATTCTCCATTAGTCCAGGTGCTGGGGGCATCACAACAGGTGCTGGGACCTGTTGTGCCTTTGACCTCACTCAGAGGAGAAGAGGTTATGGGAATGACTGTGGAGGAATAGAGTGGTTGAAGATGTTCAGCATCCATCTTCAAAGGTTAAGAAAGCTCTTGTCATCAATGATGTGCACAAAGGCATTCATTCAGAGGTTTGACACTCACCCACCCTAGAGAAATGTGGAGAGAAAAGGACCTTGGCTCTTTACTTTGACCTCTGAAAACCCTGACACTTTGTGGATTCCAATGAGCCCCATGCAGCGATGACAGATGGTAGGCACAGCTGAGTAGCTCTTTCTTCAAGTGCCAACCCAGTGACAGGAGGTGGCTGCTATGAGAGCCAACCAATCCCAAGAGGGTGAGTATCCATGGGGGAGAGAAGAGAGCCGGTCTTCCAGAGTGAAAGGACATGGAACATTGGGATGGTAGAATCATCCTGATTAACAGGGGACTTGGAGTCGTATTTATCTTATGGACCAGGAGAATTAAGGAGGATGACGGTCTTTGTTTTCCTTTGGCCCTGTAGACGCTTTGTGGCAACAGGTTTTTCTGGGCAATGTGCTATCATATGATCAGAATCAGAGGCCAGTTTAAAAAGACTATTCCATGAGAAAATAAATGAACTGAAGGAAAAGATTAAAGAAAAAAGGCAAGGCCTGGCTCAGTGTCTCACACCTGTAATCCCAGCACTTTGGAAGGTTGAGACAGGTGGATCACTTGAGGTCAGGAGTTCAAGGCCAGCCTGACCAACATGGCAAAACCCCATCTCTACTAAAAATACAAAATTAGCTGGGCGTGGTGGTGCACGCCTATAATCCCAGCTACTTGGGAGGCTGAGGCAAAAGAATGGCTTGAACTCAGGAGGCTGAGGTTGCAGTGAGCCAAGATCGCGCCATTGCACTCCCACCCGGGCAACAAGAGTGAAACTCCGTCTCAAAAACAAAAAAAGAAAAAGAAAAGGCAAGGCGGTGAGATGGCTAGTAAATGCAGGCACCCAGTTTTTGAAATTGAAGGTGGAAAATGCCCTGTGAATGCCTAGTTCCTCTTTGCAGCCCTGCCAGGAAATGGTTTCTGGCTGAGATGTTAGAGAAAGCAGGAACATCTCTAATGACCAAGCCAGTCGTCATTTTTTATGCAATTGCCCCGGCCCAGACACCAATTGAGATAGATCCCAACATCTTGGGGGTCCAGCTCAACCCCTTAGAGACCCAGATAATCTTCTGTGGTTCCAGAAGGCTATTAACCCCGAGGCATACTCAGAGATATGACTCAACTTGAGATCTTTTCCCCCACCCAGGACCACCCCAAATCATAAAGACATTAATAACAGTAATTCGCATCTACAAGTGTTTATTATTTGCATAATGCTGAGTGCTTTCTCACTTAATTTTCATAGCAACCCTATGAGGTTAGAAATATTTTTATCCCTATCTTATATTTTGGGAAACTGAGTCTTACCTAAGTCATTTACTCAAAGTACAAAGGAAATAGTAGAACTAGAATTCACAGACAGATGACATAAAGTATGGTTTTAACCACCCTATTTTACTAAGCTGTCCCACTTTGTTGTAGAATGTCCACGGCCTCCAATCAGTTTCCAGTCTTATGTGGACTTAGAAGCAAGGTGACTGTCCCACACCTGCTCAGAGGAGAAACTTACTGTTTCGATGCCTAGTTCCCAGGCTTACTGGGGTTGTTCTGGCTGCCTGCTGCAGCCTCCCATCCAAATATTCTTCCCATCAGTTCAGTTTGACAAACATTGACAAAAGCCTGTGATTTGCTAGACCTGGTATTAGACGCTGGTGGATTAAAAAAGAAAAAAAAAAAAAAGAGAGACACCGCGTTTGCCCTCAAAGGTACAATCTAGCAGAAGTATACAGATGTACAAATAAACACTTTTATTGTAAAAAGAGGAGGTAGGGCAGAATGCTATGAGAATGTGAAGAGGGCACTGAGCCAGCCTGGGGATTCAGGGAGGCATTCTGAAGGAGGTGATTCCTGAAATGAGACTTCAAGCATGAGTGAGCTTTAGTCAAAAAAAAGGAAAGTGGGAAGGGCATTCAAGTCAAAGAGAACAGCCCAGGCAAAGGCAAAGACATGGAAACATGATGGAAAAGGCTGCTGTGGGCGTGGGATTACAAGACATGCAGTGTGAGGCAGGAGGCCCAGTAGATGAGGCTAGACAGTAGGGAAGACTTCACTCATGGCAAGCTTTAGATGCCAAGCTGAGAAGACAGGGTTTTATTCTAAGGGCAATGAAAAGCCAGTGATAGGGTTGTAAACCAAAGAATGACATGGTATGATTCGTCTTTCAGAAATACCAATTTCACCTAAGGGTTTAGGATGGCTGTAAGTGGGCAAGACAGGAGCAGGAAGGTCAGATAGAACTCTACTGCAAACTGAACAGATACAGACAAGCATGGTGGGCCTGGGTAGATTCTGCTCATGATGCCCGTCTGTCCCCATGTCACACTCCCCTCTCTCAGTCAAACTGATGCCCTGGCTCAGCCCCGAGCCTCTCATCCCTTTTCCGGACCATCTTCCTAACGCCTCTGAGGCCATCTGCAAGGCGTCTGTGTCCTTAGCAGTGGCTCCTGACATCTTTTAATATCACTGGCAAATTTAATTAAAGTCACCGTTCCTCCGCTCTTCCAGATCATTAATAAAACAGTGCCACCAGGACAGACTGAGCAAATTCTCCCTCCTGCTATGCCCTCCACTTTCTCCAATGGGAACACTGCTCCGGGCATGTCACCAGCCTGGGTAGAGTTGTCCCACTCTGCTTCTAAATCTGGGCCCCTGCACAGGTGTCATAGCCAATTTACATAAAAGTTTTAGGTCCAGCCAGGCTGCACTGGCTCCGTTGTGTCACCCGAGTCCAAGCACACTGCATATTCTCCTGCACTTCCTCTGCCTCCGGTGGGTGGAAGTCAGTGCAGTCCTGTCCTCGGCAATACTCCTCGAGAGACACAGGAATGAAGCTCCTGACTCTCTCAAGAGTAGGAAAGATGTGACCTCTGCTGCTTAGGTAGCTTGATTGCCACAACTGGAACTTGTATCCAAGGAGGAAAATATAATGATATTAAATGTTTTTCTTGCATTATTAATGTTTTGAATCTTCACAATGAAGGAGGTGCTATTATCACCACACTTGTTTTAGAGATGGCAAATTGGAACTCATAGAGGTTAGGGAATTTGCCTAAGACCCCAGTTAGTAAACAGAAAGGTAAGCATTTGAATTCTGGCAGTCCACCTCCAGGACACATGCTGTTACCACTGTGCTTGACACATACCCTAGGTTTGAGCGCCCCTTCGAGCAAAGGCTCAAGGAGGGCAGGCTGAGTCTTTCTAGATGTGGAGGCCCCCGACAAGCTTGGAAGCTCTACATACAGGCAGAATGGATCCATGGTAGAGCCCTGGATTTGAAAATGGACAAGAACTTCCTTTCCAGCCTCGCCTCAATGAGGTGTGAGACCTTGGGAAGTCAGTGACCCTCTTAGGGCAGCAGCTTCCTCATCCATAAAATGCAGGTTGGGTTAGATGATCGCTATAGTTCCTTCCAGTCAAACATGCTTTGATGACAGGAAAGGAAAGAAGTGAAGGGACACATTTTATGTTAGATGGGCCCAGAGCCACGTGAAAGCCAGGTGTGGAATTTAGACTCCCACAGAGACCTCAGAGGATAAGAGAATAAGCTAGGAGGGGGTGGTAGGAAGAGGGGACCAGGGAAAAGTCAAGGAGAGCCTACATTCTGGATTTACCAAAAAGCCCCTTGGACCAAATCCGTTTTTTTTTTGTTTTTTTTTTTTTTTTTTTTTTTTTTTTGCCTATTAAGGCCAAACACTGTGCTAGCAATTGCAGGTACAGCCATGAACCACTTCTCCAACCTCTGAGAGTTTATTTTCTGATGAGGGGTGGAGACAAACAAGTAATTATTGGAATAATTGATTACAACTATGTCTTGGAAAGTAATATGATTTTCTTCTGCTGCTCTAAGCGCTCAGGTTGGTGGCTCTACGGATGCCTCAACCCGTGTGGGCAGTGGCTGCACTGCAGCAGGGCTTTTAATGTAGAGAATGTTGCAGTCGTATGTGAGATAATATTATACTGTTCTTGCTTCTCTGATCTCATGCAATTGTCATATTTTGCCTTCTCTGAAGTCTCTCAGACCTTTAATGACTTCTGAACCGTCTGACAGTTTCATGAAACCCTGCTGACACTCTCCCAGGTACTACTACAGAAGAAGAGAAAAGAAAGCTTCCTAGACAGACCAGGGCATCAGCAGGCCTCCGTCTCCTCATTCTTTATATGGACCAAGGACTTTAAAAAAGTGATGACAACAGCAATGATCATATATATTCATCAGGCACCTACTCTATAGCCAGCACTACTCTAGGCACTTTTATATCTGTTATTTAATACCTCACAAACCCACCATGAGACATGTCTTGTTATCTGTTTTAGAAATGAGGAGATAGGGGCCTCAAAGATTCATAATTTACCCAAGGTCTACCAGCTGAGCAAGTGGCAAAGAGGGGCTATGAAACTTGGTGTGTCAAATGCTAAAGTCTGCTTTTAAGCTCCAGGAGATGAAAGGGATGGTGGAAGAGTAGGCTAGGGATCAAGATCCCTTAGGTGAAGAACTTTGGGCTCCAGAAAGTTCTGTGTCTTCTGGGAAGCCTTCCCCGAAAATGCATCTTCCTCTAATTGTAAAGTGAGTCATTTATTCTCTTGGGTTCCTCTAACACTTTGGTCATCCCTGAAGCACTTGTCACACTGTACTGGGCTTATCTGTTTACCTATCCATCTTCCACACTCTTCTGGAAGCTCTATGAAAAATTTCAAGTCAATATAGGGAAGCTTTTTTTTTTCTTTTTTTTTTTTTTTGAGAGGCAGTTTCACTCTGTCACCCAGGCTGGAGTGTAGTGGCGCAATCTCGGCTCACCGCAACCTCCGCCTCCCAGGATCAAGCGATTCTCCTGCCTCAGCCTCCCAAGTAGTTGGGATTACAGGTGTGCACCACCACATCTGGCTAATTTTTGTATTTTTAATAGAGGCATGATTTCACCATGTTAGCCAGGTTGGTCTCGAACTCCTGACCTCAAGTGATCCGCCCACCTCACCCTCCCAAAGGGGAAGCTTTTTTGTTTGTAAAAATGCATCATCACACTCTGTGAAACTCTATTGATAGGACTAAGAGGTTGAACTTGACCTCTGATAACCCTCTCTACCTCTAAAATTCTGTGATTCAAAGATGCCTGAAATGTGCTAGACTTGTGTAAACCAGAGGACTTTGCCCTCTCCAAATCCTTGACAGATCTGGGGAGTTACAAACACTGAGAGTGGGCCAGAGAGCTAGGAAGAGACAGGGCTTAGCTCAGCTTAATTTAAGTTTTGTTTTTCCCATGGCTGGGTCTACATCTGCGTTTAAGTCATCCTCCTGTTGGAGACAGTGATGGAACCAGGATCACATTCTAGAGATGGCTGTACATCTGAATAACCATGGAGTTCTAAAAAATACAGACATCTAGATCCTACTCCAGACCTAAGTTTTGAACTCTCTGGGAGAGGAGCCTAAATACTTATGTTTTTGAAAAGTTCTTTTATTGATTTTAAGATACAGACAAGGTTGAAAATCCTGGGAGAGAAGAGAAGGAACCTCACCTGACTATGACATTTGCATCCCAGGTATTCCAGCCATTAGAGACTTTCTTTGGACTGAGAGAAGGACTCATAGCAGATCATGCGTTGACGCACAAATGGGTACCACAAGACATTTCTATGCGCTGGACAAACATCTCACCTTCTTGAAGTCTCATTTCCTTTCATACCTTGCCAAGAATAGTCAGCATCAATTCTCTACCCACATAAGCAGATTTTCCCTTTATCTTTCCCTAAACTTGCTGTCTACTTGGTTTATACTTGTACTCATGAAATATAAAAAATCCATAATTCTCTTGTCTTTGTAGGAAAATGATGCTATTCGTCCATTTTCAGCAAGTTGTATTTCTAATTATTTTTCCTTTCACTGATAATAGCTTAGGTCTACTTCTTCACACTTCCTCATGGCCTCTTTGTTCATTCACTCACTTACTCATTTATTCATTCATGCATGCATGCATTTATGCATTTGTATGAAACCCAGCTTATGTGTCACAGGCTGACTTTCACTGAATTATGCTGAGAAGGTTAATTTGTTCCAAACTCATTTTTTTCCACACACTCAAAAAAGTTATAAGTTCCAAGAGGGTAGAAATTTTTATCTGATATTTCTGTATGCCCAGTGCCTAAATCAGTGCCTGGCATATCACAGATGCTCAGTATATATTTATTGAATGAAGGAGTACATGGAATGAATGTGCAAAAATAGAAGGGATAATATCCAGTGAGTTCTCCCATCTTTGGCAGTGTTCAACTTGGAGGCTGGAGAACCATCTGTCAGGGATGCTGTGAGCAAGGTTTTCTGAATTTGAGTAATATGAACAAAATATAATCCCTCTAGAGAAGCACACACTTCACTGGAGAACAGTGACAGAAAACCAAATAATTACACCAAAACAACTACCAGATTTTGAAGCATGTGCAAAGTGCCAAGAGATCACAAGAAAGGAAGGTATAGTACCTCTTGGGATCACTGGGGCCAGCTGCATGAACCAGCTAACATTAGATCTAGGATTTAAAGAATGAACAGGAGTTAATTGGGTGGAAGACAGTGCATCTCAAACAAAGGCCACAGGAATCCCATGCTAAAGGGCATGGAAGCCCGAACAAGCAGCGTCTGTTTCCAGAAGGATGAGCAGTATGGCTGAAAGACTTGAGAGAAGCTGTGGAGATAAGTGAGGAATCGCTGGTAAGAGGCCTTGTGTGCCTGGCCAAGGAATGTGGGCATTCTCTTGGAGGCAATAAGGAAGCACTGAAGGTTTTTAATCATAGGAGGGACAAGATCAATGTTTTTCTTTTGGATAGGCAACCTAGAGTGATGACAGTGTGGGAACAGGATAGGTGAATGAAAGCGGGGCAAGACTGGCGGCAGGAAGACCAGTCCAGACTCTCCCAGGACTGGGATGAGAGGCAATGGAGAACTGAACCAAGGCAGTGGGAAAAGGGCTGCTGGGGAAGGCATGGATTTCAGAGGCACTGAAAGGAGAATCCATGTAAGTTGGAGACCAATAGAAACAGAAGATGATGGTGAAGAGGAATGAAGAGGCCTAGCAAGGACCATACCACATCAGGCCCCTTCCTCCACTGGCCCTGCAAAGTTCATCCCGATCCTGAGATCTCCAGGCCCCAAGAAATGAAAGCTGAAGGAATCAACACAAAACCATCCAACTTAGATATCTTCTTAGCTTTAGGACTTCCTGTAACTGTGGGACAAATGGAACCCAATCAAGGCCTTAGAGTGTTCCTCAGTCTAGTCAAGGGAATAACCATTTGTGGATTCAATAGACCAGACTGTGATAAGCTCTGAAGATGCACTGATGAAGCAGGTCTGGTTCCCCCTCGGGAGTGACACACAGAAAGGTATATGAGATCAGTATCTAAGTGTAAGCAAAGGGTTTGGGGACTTATGAACACTGCCTAAAGGTTATGGAGTCAGACATCTCAGATCTGTTTCAAATGACCGCAGTTTCACACAGGATAAAATGAACCCATGGAACATATTGCTCCTAAGAAAAAATGCTAGCTAGAAGGATAAGAATTATGTGTAAAAAACCCAAAATATTGAGATTAACTTCAAGGTAATCTAGAGTGGCTACAAGAAAGCATGATGCTGTTCATTGATTCATGAACGAAAGTATTGGTCGAGTACTTACTATGTGCCCATCACAGTTGTAGGTTCTTTGAAGATCATTTCTGCCTGGATGCATTCTCAAATTTATTGAGTGCCAAATGTGTGTCACATTCCATTCTAGCTGCTGGAGATTTAATATTTAATATTACATCTCTCACCTGGACTACTGCAACAGCTGCCAACCTTGCTCCACCCCTTATAATCTACTCTCCACAAAACAGCCGGAAAGTCTCTTTAAAATGTAAATCAGATAGATCATGCAATTCTTTGTATCCTCTCTCTTTCTGTGGCACCCCACCCCCTACTGACTTCTCATCTAGCTTCTAACTTGCTGACCTTTCAAATCTCCTACCATTTTGTTTTGCTCCACCCATACTCCACTCCAACTCAGATGAAATACTTTGAAGTTTCTAGAACAGGCAAGCATGTGTCTTAGGACTTTTGCATCTACTGTTCTCTCTACTTGAAACAACCTTACCCTAAATATCCACATAGGTCACTTTTAGATTTCATTCAGGCCTTAGATGCCCCCTCTCTGAGAGGCTTTCCCCCGCCCATCTTATCTAAAGGCAATCTCCCCCTCCAGTACTCTCTTGTAACATCACTTTTCGTTTTCTTTACAGCCCATATTCACTTGATGAAATCATCATTGTTTTTGTTTGCTTTTTTACTAGTTTATCATAGAATATATACTCCATAGTAGCAGGAATCTGGTCCCTTTTGTTCACCACAGTATTCCCAGTGCCTTGGCTAGTGCTGGCAGAGGGAGTACTCAGTAAGTATTTGCTGAGTGGATGCAAAATGACTCTACAGGAGTTTTCATTAAGTGATTCTGGAAAGATGCATCTAGGAAGAGACTTCAAACTTCCTGGCAAGCCTTAGGGTAGAGAGGTATATGGTTAAAGCCAATGACCTCAGAGTTCAGAGAGTTTTGTTCATTCTCAAGAACCAATGGGACCACATAGTGTTTGGACAGAAGTCGTGAGTCTAATTCTAAACACGGCCCCTTCTCCCAGTCTTAGTCCTCTCATTAGCACCTCACTTTTCCTTCAGAGTATGGCATAATGATAATCAGCATTTATACTGCATCATTCATTCAATAAATATTAAACAATGCTATGTGCCAGGGGTTTACAAAGAACTTCTCACTCACAGGATCTTATTTAATCCTTCTTATGAGGATGATCATACAGAAGAAGAAATTGGGGCTCATTTATTGCTGAGTGTTGCTATGCCAATAAATAATGGAGCCAGAACCAAACCTTCGTGCTGTGAATGCCAGAGGTCTCCTTTCAGCAGGCTGAAGGAGTGTGTCATGTCGGGAAGGACCAAGAGGAAGCATCCCCTGCAACTGAAAGGAAGTCAGGGCTGGAGTCAAAGGAGCAAGAATCCCAGGGCAGCCTGAGGCCGACATCGTTCCTGCCCTTCCCTGTTGCCAAGAGAGAACCACCTGGGCTCTATCTTCTGAGGTTACCCATGGGGGAGGCTGACATCCTTCTGCCCTGTTGCAAAGCCATCAAGGGATGCTGGTGATCAGCCTCCTTTATGTACATATTTCTCAGGCTATTCTCCAGAAGCCAGATGTATTTTAATGCCATTTAATTTATTTTAATTTTTTAAATGTTGAAATATGGAATTAAATCATATCATTGCCTGATTGAAGAACAAATAAAACCTGGCGAGCAGTCAAAGTCATCTCTCTGAGACAAGTCTGGGTAGTTCTTTTGTATAATTAACTCTAGGGATGCTCTGGGTCCTCCTATTACAAGGGGGTGCTAGGAGCAGATTCCTCAGACTCCCAGCAGATCTAGCTACTACCTTCACAGATGTGCTCTTCCATAATGATTTCCCCTTGAGGTTGATTCCTCTATTAGTTTCTTTTCAGGGGCTAAAAGGCATTGGCTCAAGAGGATTCTTCCTGTCTCACTGGGGAGAGAGTACAGTGGTATGTTTGGGGTAGGTGGAGCATCTAGAAAGCCACTGAGCAGAGTGGTTTTACTAGACTCTCAACAGAATCTACATGGCTCTAAACACATCTTTTCTGGGGGCTCTATGAAAGGCAGAAGTGCAGGAGTTGAGATAGGATGTCTGGAACATTTGGGAGCCTAGAGCACTACTAGTCATTCTGCGAATGCCCTAGAATACTGCAGTGGGAGCTGACTGGTGGCTGCACATTGAGGAGTGCCAACCTGGGGCCCTTGAGGCACTCTAACCAGTTTAGGGCACCTTACTGGCTGGACAGCTGAGTTGACTGGCCAAGTTGATCTCTAGAGACTCAATGTGATAACAGATACACTAGAGGCTTCAAGTTACAGCTGGAAGGTCCTGAAATGAAAGATACAGTCAGCACTAAAAGTATTCTTAGCAGGAGACAATCTGTATGCTATGAAACAAGACTCACAGAATACAGAATTGTCAGGTCAGGGAGGAGCATAAAAGTCAACACATCCAACACAAACTCTTTTGATGGATAAGGAATCCAAGGCCCAGAGAACAGAGGTGAGTCTTACCTGTGGTTGTCAGAAGTGATAAGAATTAGAACATAACCTTTTATCACCAATTCATTGCCTCCTCTATGACACCATTTTCCTGTCCCTGGTTTGAATTTTGACTCCACCACTGTCTTATTTTAGGAAATAGTATAGATCCCCTTTCTTGACCTTGTTTCACCTGCTTCATGGGTGAGGGAGTATATTCATTTATTCACTCCATTTTTTCATTGAACACCTACTGTATTTCAGGCATCATGTGACATAGAGTGGGAGACAGAAAAAGCACTTGCTCCAGGAGGGATGGTAAGCCACACGCAAAAAAAAAAAAAAAAGTGCATTTCAGAAAGTGTAAAGGGCTAATGAAAAACAGATGTCACATTATTAAAATTCACAGGAGGAAGGGACAGCTTCTCCATAAAGCCTTCCCATCAGGCAGAGGCATTTGAATTGAACACTGAAGAACAAGGACAAGTCTTAGGGGAAGGTAAACTGTGAACAAATGCACAAAAGCAGAAAGGGCAAGGAAACTGTAAAAAGTGAGGCTAGATATGGAGTGGGGCACCAGCTCATACAGGGCCTTGAATACAAGGAACTGCAAAAAATGGAATGCCCTTCAAAGTTTTTTGTGCAGAAAAATGATAAGTTTACAAGGGCATTTTAGGAGGTGAATCTTGTAACTGATGAAAATGAATTGAAAGAGGAAAAGGTTGAAGTTGGGAAGATGGCAGAAAGCTGTTTTTTACAGTATAATAATAGTAAGTACTTCGTACAGTCATGGTAAGGATTAAATGGGAAAATCAACGTAAAGCACTTTGCAACAGAGTAGCTGACAGATGGTAAACACACACACATTATTATTATTTTTATACAAGAGGTGATAAAATCTGCACTTGGGTAGTGGTGTTTGGGATGAAGAAGAGGGGCATGGGCTTATAAAATACATCAAGCAATACTTGGGGAACAAGGGAGAGGAGTTCAAATATAAACTTGGAGGTTTCGAGCCAGGGTGACTGGAAGTTTGTTGGTGCCATCAAGAGAAAGTGGGAAGTCAGGAGGAGAAGCTCCTAAGGACAAAGATGATGTCAGGTTAGTAAAAATTCAGGAGGAGTTAACAGGACATCTTGTTGGAGATACTGTGCACACGGCTGGAAACAAGACACCCAGCTTGGAGAGCTAGAGTCACAGACTCTGGGAACTATCCACACTGCAGTAACAGCACAAACCATTCAGGGAGACTGCCAAGGGATAATGGAGAAAGGAAAAATTGGGAGAGAGGAGAGAATCTTGGAGTGGAAGTGGAAGAGGGGCCATGTAGAGGTAGTGAGACCTAGAGAGCTCTGTGTGAAAGAAGCTGAAAGAGGAAAGACTTAAGGAGCTAATGGTCAATATTATCTGGTGCAGGGAGAGAGAGAGAGAAAGAGGGAGGACAGCGGGCAGCTCTTTGGAATAAGTCATTATATTTTGGGGAATGAGCAGTCCTTGTTGGATGAGACTTGGGGAGAAGGTGGAGAAAAGTGGGAAGTGAGTGGATGAGTGATGAGAAAATAGGGACAAATGATTAAAATCTCAAGAGTTTGTTGAAGGCATGATGGGGAAAGAGTATAATGGGGAAAAGGAATTAGAGAAGTGATATTCTTTTTAAGATGGAGTTTGTGGAGGGAGAGGATTCTGTGTTGAAGAAGAAAGACACTTCAGATAAGAGATGGAACTGGGGCAGTTTACCAAAGTAAGGCAAGGGTGAGCTCCTGGGCACTGTGCAGGAAATGAAGGGTTTTGTTTCTGTTCGTTTGTTTTTCACTCTAAGATTAGTGACAGGGAAGGATGAGGAACCCAGTGGAGAAATCAGGGTGCAAAGGAAGAATGCTGACGAAGCTCACACTGTTTGGTTTCATTCTTTTGGACTTCGAGGTCCTCTCCTGTCTAGTTATTTGGAAATTATCACATGGAAGCCATGGCAGGAGCACAGCTTTTGGTCCTACTTCCAGATCTAGTCCCCACATGACCCAGCATTCCTGCACACAACTAGGAAAGCCCTATTTGTCCTTCCAAATATCAAGGCAGTAAATGCTATTTGGTCTGTTCCAAATTACATATAGATGAAACAGAGCTGTTTTCTTCTTATTAGATATGATTCTGTATGCCATATCCAAGTACCCTGGATTCTAGAATTAGCTTTTATTCACTCACCATATTATTTTTAAATACTCACGTACATACACATGTGAGTCTCCTGTCTAGATGTCTTGCTCTATAGTCTCCATGGACCTAAATTCTAACCCTTCCAGGCTCCTTCTTCAGGCCTGTCTCAGCCTTCACGGATCTCTCCATCTCAAATCTTTGAGAGTTTGCTTTGCTCTGCAGTTCAGTTGGCCAGGAAATATGTCTCACACTCTGTGGAGCCCTTTCTCTTTTCCCCTAAGGCATCTGCCCAGTGTTGAGTTTAGAGGGCCCATTCAAAACACAAATGGACAACCAAACATAAACCAATCTCATTAGAGAAAATTAGTTAAACTTTTTCCTAGAAGGGTATCTCTGGTTTGTCTGGAGACCTAATTAGGGAAAAGAGGTCAGGCTGGCAGGACCAGAGGAAAGCAAAAAGAGAAAGCAGATAAGCTATAAGTCTGCCTGTTTTCATGGTCCAGGACACATAGCCCTCCTGTGCAAATAATTCACAATCTTCCTGTACCCAGCTATCACCAGACCATCGGCTGATAGAAAAGTGCAAGTTAACTCACTGCAACCTTGGCATTATCAGTGCTGCACATAGCTTTCTCCAGCACAAGCTCCATCCTATAAAGCCCCCAGCAAGCCTTTGTCTCCTTGCAGTCAGCTCTTTCTTCTCTTGCTGACCTGCCTGTTGCTTCACTGCAATCTATCTTCACATGTTCTCTAATAAATCTGCCTTTTATTTTCTTTTTTACCTACAACTGTCTTGGTAAATTCTTTTTACCTCCCACGCGACATTGGCCCCAAATAGTCGCTACCCATGAGAGTCTGTACATTGAAACAGAAAGAAGAAACCCCCGCCCTCACCTTCATAGACTGCCGGGACCATACACCTGGGTTTCTATACAGCTTCCTCTTTACCTTCCTCTCTCTCCCACTTTCCAGTTTCAGTATACTATCTAAAATGCAAGTCTGACCTTTCAAATCAGTAGTCAACATTTTCCTAACCCCGTGCTGGAAACTCAGTGGAAATTCTTAGCATGGAGTACAAGCCCTTTAAGGTTTGACCCTATGCCTTCTCCACACTCAACTCCCCACTGCATTTTAATCTCTGTCTTCAGTCATTTGAAAGAGCTCTTATCCATGTTAGGTCTTTACATATGAATCCCTTCACTCATAACACTTTCTCCCTCCACTCTCCTCTCCTCTTTACTTCCTCTCCTCTTTTCTTTCACCAAAGCTAACTCCTACCTATCCTCCCTTTCTGGGCTTAGCTGTCCCTACAAGTCCTCATTAAGCCCATAGGAAGAGGTGCTCCTCCTATATGCTTCCATTATCATGGGGTTTACCCTCTACTGGCATAAATCACTTTATACAGTAATTGTCCATTCACTAGCTGGTTATCCTTGCTGGAATGTGTGTTTATGAGGAAAGAGGCCATTCTATTTTATTTGCCTCTGTACTTAGCACATGCCTGTCAGAGTAGGTGGCTGTTGAATATTTATTGCATCAATGGCTAGCTGAATGAATAAATGAATGCTTTTTCTTTTGGAGTTCAATGTTTTTCTGAGCCTCAGCACGTATTTGAACCTCTTAGGCAAAGCAACCAGGCTTAAGTGAAGGGGGTTATTCCTTTCTTTTTTTTCTTTTCTTTTTTTTTTTTTTTTTTGAGATGGAGTCTTGCTCTGTCGCCCAAGCTGGAGTGCAGTGGCTCATTCTCGGCTCACTGCAACCTCTGCCTCCCAGGTTCAAGCGATTCTCCTGCCTCAGCCTCCTGAGTAAGTGGGATTACAGGTGCCTGCCACCATGCCCAGCTAATTTTTGTATTTTTAGTAGAGACGGGATTTCACCATGTTGGCAAGGCTGGTCTCGAACTTCTGACCTCAGGTGATCCGCCTGCCTCGGCCTCCCAAAGTGCTGGGATTACAGGCGTGAGCCACCACGCCCATCCTATTCCTTTCTTTTTATCTAATCTCAATAGTTTGAAAAGAAGTCCAGATGTGTGACACATTTCCCAAATCCTGATCATGGGCAATGACTGAATCATGCAGGCTGGGGAACATGCCTACTATCAGTGCCCATAAGTAATATCAACAACTGTGCCCAGAGAATGCAAGAGGAACCATCCTGCACAGGCAAAGGGCAGGGCCAGGGCAAGAGGACAACCTATCGGCTTTAGGGTCCCATCCCCTGGGGGAGCACAGGGCATGGGAATAGTTTTAACAGGGTCAGTTCAGTAAGCATATTCTCCCTTCTCCGACCAGGAAGCTGTAGGTGGCAGTGTAAAGGAGAGCTCAGAAGAGCAGGAACAGAGAAGGAAAGAATGTAATTGTTCCTCCAATTCCACTCATTCAACCAACATTTACTGGGCACCTATCCCATGCCGGGCACAGTGCTAGGCCTTGGGGACACAGTTTCCTCCCTTTGTGGAGTCTGTTATCTAGAGGTGTGCCTGGCATTACTTAATCACATACATAAATTTAATGGGCGTCTTTAAATTACTTCAAAAATATAAGTTCAGATTATGAGTGTTTATGAGAAAAGGGTCCATTCTATTTTATTTGCATCTGGACTTAGCACATGCCTGACAGAGTAGGTGGCTGTTGAATATTTATTGAATAAATGGCTAACCGAATGAATAAACAAATATTTTTCTTTTGGAGTCCAATGGACTCCACGGCCAAATATGGCTTGGCTGTGTCCCCACCCAAATCTCATCTTGAATTGTAGTTCCTATAATCCCTACGTGTCCTGGGAGGAAGCCAGGGAAGTAATTGAATCATGGGGGCAGTAACCCCCATGCTGCTGTTCTTGTGACAGTGAGTTCTCACAAGATCTGATGGCTTTGTAAGGGGCTTTTCCCCCTTTTTTTCGTCACTTCTTGCTGCCGCCATGTGAAGAAGGACATGTTTGCTTCCCCTTCCACCATGATTGTAAACTTCCTAAGGCCTCCCCAGCCCTGTGGAACTGTGACTCTATTAAACCTCTTTCCTTTATAAATTACCCAGTCTTGGGTATGTCTTTATTACCAGTGTGAGAACGGACTAATACAGGTGTATAATAAGCAGGGATGTGGCCTAGTCAGGGAGAATATGAAAGGCTTCCTTGAGGAAGTAACTAGTGAGCTGAGAGCTGAAGCTTGAGTAGGAGTACTTTAGGAGTATGTTGGAAGAAGAATAAAGCATTCCAAGCGGAGGAAACTGCATGAATGGCCTTCCCTTCTCCATCAAGTTAAAGAAAGAACCACTTCAACCAAGTTCAGTTCTATAGGCCTTATCTGCTTCCTCTCAACCCAGTATCTACATTTCATTTAAAGAAAAAGGAGGCTACAAAGTGGACTTGTGTGTGGGGACTGCTGCTGGGCATTGTAGATTGCAATGAGGGGCTGGGTTGATCAGTCCACATCTAGTTACCCTAAGCTTTGACCATCAGCCATCCTCCTTTGGAGACCTGCAATGCATGAAGGGGCAGGTTCCTCTCAAACTTGGATCCAGCCAGTGACGCCAGCAAAAAGAAGCCCCAGCCCGAAGCCAAGAGCCCATAAAGGGTGAACTGATCCCCCTATTTCAGGAAGAGCATGGCGCAGCAGCTATATTTGAAAATCGAGGTAAACAAGAGCTCAGCTCAAGTGGATGGGGCACGACAGCTGTGGAAGATTAATCACACGCCGCTGCAAGTCACCGGGTCGCCAGGGGCCGAGGAGGCTTCCCTTTTGGTGCCCCACCGGAAGGCCGGATGTGTTCCTATCACGTACCCACATTCCACCCCCGCTCAACTCCCTCCTCCCCCCACCCCCTTCGGGTGTTTCTTGACCACCCAGGAGCTTGGCTGCGCCTGCTGCAGTCTGCGTTTCTGATAAATTGAAACCAGTTTTAATTCTTCTGCCCGGGAGACCTAACCGCCGAATGCGTTCGGAGGTATGTTTTTTAATCGCCAGGAAAGGGGGAGAGAGAGAGAAAGAGAGAGAGAGAGAGAGAGGAAAGGAGGAGAGAAGAGAAGAGAAGCGGGGGGCGGGGGGAGAGAGAGAGAGAGAGAGAAGGAAGCTGCGATGAGCGGGTAAATTTATGGTACTGCATTAAAGGCATTTCTTCTATTTAACCCCACCCCGCCACCACCACCACTACCACACCGTTAAAAATAAAATACAATGAATTAAGACGAAGAACTGCTTTTTTCCCCGGAGCAAATTGCTTTCATCATCTTTCCCAGTGGCTCGGGTCCTCTGGGCAGGTCAGCCAGGGCCTGTAGGAGCAGCAGCGCTAGCCTCTGAATCAGGGCTTTGACTGTGTGTGTGTGTGTGTGTGTGTGTGTGTGTGTGTGTGTGTCCGCGCGCGCGTGTGTGTTGGGGGATCGGGGGAGGGTTAGTTATATATTTCGATTCTCTCCACCGAGTCCCGGATCACGCAGACCACCAGGGGCTGGAGAGTGCAGCACTGGAGAAACCCTCCTTCTCCCTCGCCCCCTTGGCCCCAGCGGTGGGTGCTCTGGGGCTGCAGCTCCCGACCCGCGGCGGTGGAGTCCCGAGATTGGGGTGAGCGCGTGCGTGCGTATGTGCACGCGGGCGCGCGCCGAGTGGATAACGCGCTTCCCTGCTAGCCCCCAAACCCGGCGGACACTCACAGCACCAGAAGCACAACACGCCCTGGCCCAGGTGGCACACATATGCCGACATGCATCCAGCACACACAACACAGCAGTCAGTCTCCCCAAACAGCACCCGCTACCAACCCAGCATGCTCACGATCCAACTGTACCCACCTGCCCAGGCATCTCTCTCTGCCCCTCCCCACCCGGCGGCACCCTCCTGTAGACACCCACTCTGCCAGATCTGCCCCCCCAACACTGCATACACAATGTACACTTTCCGGGGCACCCTCACCCCACTTCTCCTGGCACTAAATCCACAGGAAGGCGGTTCATATGAATGATCTTGAGAAATAACTTAACCCCGTTACTCACAATCAGGGATCCTCTTAGGGGCATCCCAAGCCCCCCAACCTCTACCTCCCATGTCTCGGCTGCCCGCTAAGGGGGAAGGGCAGGAGGCTCACCCCATTACTCACCGTTTCCTCTCGGCCTCCCGAGCGGAGTGGGCAAGGGAGGGGGGTGAGGAAGGTACGCGATGCCCCCGCCGCCCGGCGCCTCACCGGTCGCAGCGGCTCATCGCCCCCGCGGGCTGCCCGCCGGCCGCAGCCGCGTCCGGGGCATGTCAGTCCGCCGCCGCCGCCCTCCCGCCGGGGTTCGTGGGCTCGCAGCTGTCAGGGAGCTGCGGGGCAGCGCATCTGGAGCGCGGGGTCTGGGAGGGAGGGTGTCTGGGGCCAGGGCGAGGGGCCCCGGGAGGGGTCCTTCCGCACGGATTTCAGAAAGAGGGAAACCCCGACCCAGAGCGGTGACTGGAATCTACGCCCGGGAGAGGCCCGGAGTCCCGGCCGCGGGCGGCGGGGGATTCCTGCAGGAAGGGGCAGGAAGGCAAGCAGCCCGGCGCGCCCTGGCGGCTCCGAGGGACCTGGGCTCGGGCTTGCGGTCGCGTCGCCTGGGCTTTCCCTGGGCTGGGAGCGCGCCGGGTCTCCGCCTTGCACGCTGTCACCGCGGGAGACGTCTCGGCCTCGCCGCGCGCAGAGGGGACGCGCGGAGAGGCTGGTTTCTGGGCGAGCGGAGAGCTTTGCCCATTAAGCTGCCGGAAGAAGCCAAATCAAAAAGCCAATCTCCAAGCCTCCAAACGGAACGTCACCCTATCAGCTGGGAGACAGCGCCGCACTGACTGACAAGCCGCGCATATTTATCCTCGCGCGCGGAGGGGAGACTCTCAGAACGCTCCTCGACCAGCAGCGAGGAAGTCGAGCCCGCATCCCGCATCCCGCATCCCGCATCCAGAGCCCCCGAGGGACGAATTCAGATCCAACCCCTGCCCCGCGGCCACCCACCCTAGTCGTTGGAGCCTGGCGCCCGCGCCTCCCGGCCGGCAGCACGTCAAAACGGCGGCGCGTCCTGACCTGGATTCCGCCGAGTTGGGAGCTCCAGGCAGCAGGCGGGCGCGCGGCACCGGCTTTCCCCTTGTCCTCAGGAGACGCTGCCTGCAATTCCGAAATTAAGTCTCCACCAAACACATCTGTGGTTTTTAAATATAGCAGGGAACTATTACCCAGGCAGGGTCCACCCAGGCCTAGGGGAGGAGTTGAGGGGGATGGAGATTGGCAGCGGAGGGAAAAGAAAACTCCTTTTTTCCCCCTCTTTTTTTCTTCTCTTCTTGGTGCAGAACCCAGCCTGTCATTTTCTCAACCCAAGTCAAACAACAGTTTGTGAGAGACGCTTGGGTGAGCTCTGGTATGTTGGCTTTTCGGGTTTCTAAAGCTAAAAATAAGAGGGGGCTGCCTCCCAAATTGCTGCTTACTCTGGGCCTGGAGGCTGGAAGAGAGCTGGTCCTTTGATGCAGCAGCGGGACTAGGGCTTGGGGCTTGGCTCAGGCGAAGTGTACACACGTAGCCTTAAATCAGATGCCTGTAATTTCTGCTATATTTGTCAGGCTTGGTCCTAGAGGCATGCGGGGTGGGCAAGCCACTCCTAAGAATGGGGTTTCAAGCCCTCAGCTTATCGGTGGCATTAGGCAGATCTAAAATGAGCCTGGTGGCTGGCCTTCTGTAGCGACACCAGTGCAGAAAAGTCAGAATGTAAGGGCAGGAAGTTGTTCTCTTTCAGGCCTCTCTGCTGCCTGAGGCTAAGTGTGAGGGGCCAACAAATGATAATAATACTTACCAAATAGCAGCACCTTTTAAGGGCCAGGAGTGGTGCTAGTGAATTTGATTGTATTACCTCATGCCATCCTACTAAAACTCTGTGAGCTAGGTACAATTACCAACTCCATTTTTTTGTTGAGGAAATTGAGCCTTAGGTTAAATAACCATCCCAAGGCCACGTGCAGCAGAGCCAAGGATTGAAATAAAATGCAACCAACCGGAGTTGTGCTGAGACGTCAACAGTGTGTGTGACTCCTGAGATCCCTGGCTCCTTTGCCCGGCTGCTCTGGAGCAAGGCTTGGTTCAAACAGATTAAGGGGGTGTAGAGACTAGGGAATCTCTAAGCCTGAGATGGCAGGAGGTCTTTGCTGGTCCTTTGACTCAGTGTTCCGTTAGCAAGCTGTGTGGTGGTTTCTGGCCTGAGTCCGGAGTCAGAATCCTGGATGTGCTCAGTAGGAGCAGTAGGAGTGCTTTCAGACCCCTGAACCTTTATGGGTCTTGAATTTCATTTAAAGTTAGGGCTGGGACTGACTTTGAAAGGTTTCAATAGCTTCTAAAGTTGTGGGATCTCAGGATATGTCAGTTACTGGGACTTACCTTGTGTCTGCTCCCGTGGAGAGTCACAATGCTGAGTCTACACATTGAGAGTCTACAGTAGAGACAAAGAGATGGCTAATGGGCACCTAAATTGATAGAGTTTTTAGGTAGGGCAATTTTGAAAGATACATCAAATTCCTTAAAAACGTGAATGCCTGTGACCCAGTAATTTTACTGGAAGAAATTTATTCTATGGCAATCATTAAGGATATGCTCAAATATTTAGTTACAAGGATATTCATGGTAGTGTTTTTAAGAGTGAAAAATTGGAAACATCTTAATTTTCCAACACAACAAATTGGTGAAGTAAACATGTTTTGTTGACATAATGCTGTATTCTACCACTGTAAAAATACAGATGCAGCATTCTGTGTACTGGTGTGGAAAGGTTTTTATAATATATCGTAGACAGAGAGAAAAAAAACCCCAGAACACAGTGTAACACAGCATGTGCGGGGGTGGCGGGGTGGGGATGAATGCCCTGGCAGCATAAAAACCCCAAAATGGTAGTGGTTATCTCTTGGTGGTGGGATTTCTGGTGATTTTGTTTCTCTTTGTATCAATCAACTTTATTGAGGTGTAATTTACATACAACAACTCACCTTTTTTCTGATCTATGCTTTATGAAGGCATCAAAAGCAAGGTCTAGTGCACAGGCTAAATGACTATCTCAGTAGTGAGGAACATGAATCTGCAAAACTATCCCAGTAGTGAGGAACATGAATAATATTTCAAGATACCTGCAAAAACTAACTGATGATATTAAAATATCTGACATTTCTAATGGAGATAAAGTTACAGGTATCCAAACATCACTACTACTACTAAAAACTCACCTGTTTTAAGTGTATAGTTTGAAGAGTTTTTATACAAGTACATACATGTAGAGCAACAACCTCAGTCAAGACATAGAACATTTTCATCTCCCCCAGAAGTCCTCTCAGGCCCCTTTATACTCATCCGCTCTTCCCACAGGCAACTATTGATCTGCTTTCTGTCACTGTGGCTTAGTTTTGCTTGTGCCAGAATTTTATTTGTTTGCTTGTTAATATCTATTGATATATTTTCAGTGAACATTACCTATTCACTAAAACTGAACCAGCAACAACAACAGAATTGGTCATGTCATTTTTTTAGAACTACCAAACAAAACAGACAGGAACCTTGTCTTCCTCTTGTCACCTGTGACAGGGCAATGCTGCGGGGAGGAAGGCAAGAGGTGCCAAAGCATGTTCAACCAACGCTGTCGGCAGAGCTGACTTGCGTAGGTTCCTCTGAGTTCTAGGTAGACTGAAATAGCAAAGCCCAGCTCTGCATTCTGAGCCTCAGTGTCCTCACCAGTAAAATGGGAATAATAATAATTATTATTATTAATAATAATAATAATTATTATTATTATTATTAATTATTATTATTAATAATAATAATACCCACCTCGTGAGGTTGTTGTGAAGCTTCAGTGAGATTACAGTTTCTGGTACAGACCAATCCCCAAATATATATCAATTCTCCTTCTCCCCTACTTTTGTTCTCCCCCAACCCTGCTTCTCTCCCATCTTAAGTTCTACAGCCAACCTTCACGTGGCCTATGAAGTCTCAGACTGCTTTCAACTCTGGACATTCTCACTTCTTTTTTTCTCCCCACTACATGCATACAGGGTTGGAAAACATTAAATGTAATGACACCGTACTTGCATTTCTGCCATTGTTACTTATATCTAGCTGTACTGGAACCCAAGGAGATGTTCACAAGGAAGATGGAAAGTAAGCTGTGTAACATCAGCATTGGGAGCAAGAGCCACAAACCTCATTTTCAAGTTGGGAAGAAACTCAGGACCCGAGAAGCTACAGGATTCAGCCCAGTCACAGAGCTTGGTAAGAACTAGACAGACTCTTTTATGGACTGAATTGTGTGTCCCAAAACTTGTGTGTTGAAGCCCTAGCCCTTAGTACCCAGAATGTGCCTGGGTTTTGAGACAGGGTCTTTAAAAAGGTAATAAAATTAAAACAGTGCCGTCAGTGTGGGCCCTAATCCACTATGACTGCTATCCTTATAAGAAGAGGAGATTAGGACACAGACAGACAGAGGGACAACCTTGTGAGGACACAGCGAGAAGGCAAGCCAAGGAGAGAGAAATCAAATGTGCTGACACCTTGATGTGGGAGTTCTAGGCTCCAGAACTATGAGAAAATAATTTCTGTTAGTTAAGCCACTCAGTCTTTGGTATTTTGTCATAGTAGCCCTAATTCTGTGAGTCCTTGTCATAGAATACCCTTTCTCTAGAGGCTGAGCAGCAAGTAATAGGGCAGATGGGATGAATAGTGGGAAGGGACCACATGGCTTCTTGGTGGGGCCCCAGTATTTGCCATTATGCTGCAGAACTCCACAAGTCAGTGCCTCTCCAAAAGCGGGGCCTCAGGCACTTCATAAGCAGACGACCTGCCAGTCCTGGCCACCAGTGGCACTGCATCCCACACAAGCCACAGTGTCTCTTCTCACAAGCAACCTAGGTGCCAGCATTCCACAGCCCTTGGACTATACAATCTGATAGCAGTTGAGAAACAACAGCAGTCAAGTGGAAGCTAAAAGTAAGTTCTGGAACAGCTCTGTAGGGAGGATGGAAGTTTAGTAAACCCTGTCTGATAATAGGGTATTTATTTAGTGAGACATAATTCTTCCCTATGCGTTATATTATTTTTAATCTCATTATAACTTGTATTTCAAAAATTTGTCAATTATTTATTTTTCCTTTTATAAAGTTTATTGCAGTAGGATATACATACAGAAATGTGCACAAGTCATGACTATAGCTCAAAGAATTTTCACAATGTGAATATATTTTATTTAATCATCATCCAGAACAATAAATATTACCAGTACCCCAGCAGCTCCCCTCGTGCCTCTCCCAGCGATGCTTCTTCCTCTTCTCCAGAGGGAACGGCTCTCCTGACTTCTAAAACCACACATTAATCTTATGTGACTTTGAACTCTACGTAAATGGAAGCAGATGGAAAGTACTGTTTTGGGGGTTCTTTGCTCAGCATAATTTTGGTGATGTTCATTCATATTGTTGTGTGTAGCAGCAATTTGTGATTTTTCATTTATGTATAGTTTCCTTTGAATGAATATGCAACTCAACTTTTTATTCTGCTCTTGATATCTAAATTGTTTCTGGTTTTTTATTTTTTGAATAATGCTGCTGTGAACATTTGCCTACACTCTCCCTCTCCAAGATTGTTTGATCACATTCTTCTCAGCACTTAGTATTGTCAGACTACTTAAAATTAGTCATTCTGGTGGGTATAAATTTGACTTTAATTTGTGGCTTTAATTTGCACTTTTAAAAAATTTTACTTTAAATTCTGGGATACATGTGCAGAACATGCAGGTTTGTTACATAGGTATACATTGCCCTGGTAGTTTGCTGCACCCATCAACCCATCATCTAAGTTTTAAGCCCCGCATGCATTAGGTATTTGTCCTAAATGCTCTCCCTCCCCTGGCCTCCCAAATACTGACAGGCCCCCATGTGTGATGTCCCCCTCCCTATGCCTTCTCATTGTTCAACTCCCACTTACAAGTGAGAACATGTGGTGTTTGGTTTTCTGTTCTTGTATTAGTTTGCTGAGAATAATGGCTTCCAGCTTCATCCATGTCCCTGCAAAGTATATGAACTCATTCTTTTTATGACTGCGTAGTATTCCATTGTGTATATGTGCCACATTTTTCTTTACCTAGTTTATCATTGGTGGGCATTGGGCTGGTTCCAAGTGTTTGCTACTGCAAATAGTGCCACAATAAACATATGTGTGCATGTGTCTGTATAGTAGAGTGATTTATAATCCTTTGGGTATGTACTCAGTAGTGGGATTGGTGGGTCAAATGGTATTTTGTTCTAGATCCTTGAGGAATCGCCACACTCTCTTCCACAGTGGTTGAACTAATTTACACTCCTACCAACAATGTAAAAGCGTACCTATTTCTCCATATCCTTGCAAGCATCTGATATTTCCAGACTTTTTAATGATCACCATTCTAACTGGTGTGAGATGGTATCTCATTTTGGTTTTGATTTGCATTTCTCTAATGACCAGTGATGATGAGCTTTTTTTCATGTTTTTTGGCCACATAAACGTCTTCTTTTGAGAAGTATCTGTTCATATCCTTCACCCACTTTTGATGGGGTTGTTTGCTTTTTTCTTGTAAATTTGTTTAAGTTCCTTGTAGTTTCTGGATGTTAGCCCTTTGTCAGATGGATAGATTGCAAAAAATTTCTCCCATTCTGTAGGTTGCCTGTTCACTCTAATGATAGTTTCTTTTGCCGTGCAGAAGCTCTTTAGTTTAATTAGATCCCGTTTGTCAATTTTAGCTTTTGTTGCCATTGCTTTTAGTGTTTTAGTCATGAAGTCTTTGCCCACACCTATGTCCTGAATGGTATTGCCTAGGTTTTCTTCTAGGGTTTTTATGGTTTTGGGTTTGACATTTAAGTCTTTAATCCCTCTTGAGTTAATTTTTGTATAAGGTGTAAGTAAGGGGTCTAGTTTCAGTTTTCTGCAGATGGCTAGCCAGTTTTCCCAGCACCATCTATTAAATGAGGAATTGTTTCCCCATTGCTTGTTTTTGTCAGGTTTGTCGAAGATCAGATGGTTGTAGTTGTGTGGTGTTATTTCTGAGGCCTCTGTTCTGTTCCATTGGTTTATATATCTGTTTTGGTATCAGTACCATGCTGTTTTGATTACTGTAGCCTTGTAGTATACTTTGAAGTGAGGTAGTGTGATGCCTCCAGCTTTGTTCTTTTTGCTTAGAATTGTCTTGGCTATATGGACTCTTTTTTGGTTCCATATGAAATTTAAAGTAGTTTTTTCTAGTTCTGTGAAGAAAGTGAATGGTAGCTTAATGGGAATAGCATTGAGACCGTAAATTACTTTGGGCAGTATGGCCATTTTCATGATATTGATTATTCCTGTCCATGAGCATGGAATGTTTTTCCATTTGTTTGTGTCCTCTCTTCTTTCCTTGAGCAGTGGCTTGTAGTTCTCCTTGAAGAGGTCCTTCACATCCCTTATAAGTTGTATTCCTAGGTATTTTATTTTCTTTGTAGCAATTGCGATTGGGAGTTCACTCATTATTTGGCTCTCTGCTTGTCTATTGTTGGTGTATAGGAATGCTTGTGATTTTCACACACTGATTTTGTATCCTGAGACTTTGCTAAAGTTGCTTATCAGCTTAAGGAGTTTCAGACTGAGATGATAAGGTTTTCTAAGTATACAGTCATGTCATCTGCAAACAGTCAATTTGACTTCTTCTCTTCCTACTTGAATATCCTTTATTTCTTTCTCTTGCCTGATTGCCTTGGCCAGAAATTCCAGTACTGTGTTGAATAGGAGTGGTGAGAGAGGGCATCCTTATCTTGTGCCGGTTTTCAAAGGGAATGCTTCTAGCTTTTGCCCATTCAGTATGATATTGGCTATGGGTTTGTCATTAATAGCTCTTATTATTTTGAGATATGTTCCATCAATACCTAGTTTATTGAGAGTTTTTAGCATAAAGGGATGTTGAATTTTATCAAAGGCCTTTTCTGCATCTATTGAGTTAATCATGTGGTTTTTGTCATTGGTTCTGTTTATGTGATGAATTACGTTTATTGATTTTCATATGTTGAACCAGGCTTGCATCCCAGGGATGAAGCTGACTTGCTTGTGGTAGATACGCTTTTTGATGTGCTGCTGGATTCAGTTTGCCAGAATTTTATTGAGGATTTTCGCACTGATGTTCATCAGGGATATTGGCCTGAAATTTTCTTTTTTTATTGTGTCTCTGCCAGGTTTTGGTATCAAGATGATGCTGGCCTCATAAAATGAGTTAGGGAGGAGTCCCTCTTTTTCTATTGTTTGGAATAGTTTCAGAAGGAATGGCACCAGCTCCTCTTTGTACCTCTGGTAGAATTTGGCTGTGATTCCATCTGGTCCTGGGCTTCTTTTGGTTGGTAGGCTATTAATTACTGCGTCAATTACAGAACCTGTTATTGGTCTATTCAGGGATTTGACTTCTTCCTGGTTTAGTCTTGGGATGGTTTATGTGTCCAGGAATTTATCCATTTCTTCAAGATTTTCTAGTTTATTTGCATAGAGGTGTTTATGGTATTCTCTGATGGTAGTTTGTATTTCTGTGGGAACAGTAGTGATATCCCCTTTATCATTTCTTAATGTGTCTATTTGATTCTTCTCTCTTTTCTTCTTTATTAGTCTAGCTAGTGGTCTATCTATTTTGTTAATCTTTTCAAAAAAAACAGCTCCAGGATTCATTGATTTTTTTTGGAAGGGTTTTTCGTGTTTGTATCTCCTTCAGTTCTGCTCTGATCTTAGTTATTTCTTGCCTTCTGCTACTTTTGAATTTGTTTGCTTTTGCTTCTCTAATTATTCTAATTGTGATGTTAGGGTGTCGATTTTAGATCTTTTCAGCCTTCTGATGTGGGCATTTCATTCTATAAATTTCCCTTTTAACATTGCTTTAGCTGTGTTCCAGAGATTCTGATACATTGTCTCTTTGTTCTCATTGGGTTCAAAGAACTTCTTTATTTCAGTAGTCATTCAGGAGCAGGTTCTTCAATTTCCATGGAGTTGTGTGGTTTTGCGTGAGTTTCTTAATGTGGAGTTCTAATTTGATTGCACTGTGGTCTGACAGACTGTTATGATTTCTGTTCTTTTGCATTTGCTGAGGAGTGTTTTACTTCCAATTATGTGGTTGATTTTAGAATAAGTGCTATGTGGTGCTGAGAAGAATGTATATTCTATTGATTTGGGGTGGAGAGTTCTGTAGGTGTCTATTAGATCTGCTTGGTTCAGAGCTGAGTTCAAGTCCTGAATATCCTTATTAATTTTCTGTCCCGTTGATCTGTATAATATTGACAGTGGGGTGTTAAAGTCTCCCACTATTATTGTGTGGGAGTCTAAGTCACTTTTTGTTTTATGAAGCTGGGTGCTCCTGTATTGGGTACATATATATTTAGGATAGTTAGCTAGTCTTGTTGCATTGGTCCTTTTACCATTATGTAATGCCCTTCTTTATCTTTTTTTATCTTTGTTGGTTTAAAGTCTGTTTTATCAGAGACTAGGATTGCAACCCCTGCTTTTTTTTTTCTTTCCATTTGCTTGGTAAATATTCCTCCATCCTTTATTTTGAACCTATGTGTGTCATTGCATGTGAGATGGGTCTCCTGAATACAGCACACTGATGGGTCTTGACTCTTTATCCAATTTGCCAGTCTGTGTCTTTTAATTGGGGCATTTGGCCCATTTACATTTAAGGTTAATATTGTTGTGTATGAATTTGATCCTGTCATCATGGTGCTAGCTGGTTACTTTGCACTTTAGTTGATGCAGTTTCTTCATAGTGTTATTGGTCTTTATATTTTGGTATGTTTTTGCAGTGGCTGGTACCAGTTTTTCCTTTCTATATTTAGTGCTTCCTTCAGGAGTTCTTGTAAGGCAGGCCTGCTAGTGACAAAATCCCTCAGCATTTGCTTGTCTGTAAAGGATTTTATTTCTCCTTCACTTATGAAGCTTTGTTTGGCTGGATATGAAATACTGGGTTGAAAATTATTTTCTTTTCTTTTTTTTTAAATTTTTTTATTTTTTTAAATTTTTTTAATTTTTATTTATTATTATTATACTTTAAGTTTTAGGGTACATGTGCACAATGTGCAGGTTAGTTACATATGTATACATGTGCCATGCTGGTGCGCTGCACCCACTAACTCGTCATCTAGCATTAGGTATATCCCCCAATGCTAACCCTCCCCCCTCCCTCAAACCCACAACAGTCCCCAGAGTGTGATGTTCCCCTTCCTGTGTCCATGTGTTCTCATTGTTCAATTCCCACCTATGAGTGAGAATATGCGGTGTTTGGTTTTTTGTTCTTGCGATAGTTTACTGAGAATGATGATTGCCCCCTACTCTCTTCTGGCTTGTAGGGTTTCTGCAGACAGAGCCACTGTTAATCTGATGGGCTTTCCTTTGTAGGTAACCTGGCCTGTCTCTCTGGCTGCCCTTAACATGTTTTCCTTCATTTCAACCTTGGAGAATCTGTCAATTATGTGTCTTGGGGTTGCTGTTCTTGAAGAATATCTTAGTGGTGTTTTCTGTATTTCCTGAATTTGAATGTTGGCCTGTCTTGGTAGGTTGGGGAAGTTCTCCTGGATAATACACTGAAGTGTGTTTTCCAGCTTGCTTCTATTCTCCCCATCACTTTCAGGTACACCAATCAATTGTAGGTTTGGTCTTTTCACATAGTCCCATATTTCTTGGAGGCTTTGTTCATTCCTTTTCATTCTTTTTTCTCTAATCTTGTCTTCACACCTTATTTCAGTAAGTTGATCTTCAATGTCTGATATCCTTTCTTCTCCTTGATCGATTCCACTACTGATACTTGTGTATGCTTCACGAAGTTCTCGTGCTGTGTTTTTCAGCTCCATCAGGTCATTTATGTTCCTCTCTAAACTGGTTGTTCTAGTTAGCAGTTCCTGTAACCTTTTATCAAGGTTCTTAGTTTCCTTGCATTGGGTTAGAACATTCTCCTTTAGCTCCAAGGAGTCTTCTATTACCCACGACCTGAAGCCTACTTCTGTCAGTTCATCAATCTCATTCTCCATCCAGTTTTGTGCCCTTCTGGACAGGAGTTGCGATCATTTGGAGAAGAAGAGACATTCTGGTTTTTGGAATTTTCAGCATTTTTATGCAGGTTTTTCCTCATCTTTGTGGATTTACCTACTTTTGATCTTGGAGGCTGATGACCTTTGGATGGAGTTTCTATGTATGGGGTTCCTTTTTGTTGATGTTGATGTTAGGGCTTTCTGTCTGTAAGTTTTTCTTCTAACAGTCAGGACCCTCTTCTGTAGGTCTGCTGCAGTTTGCTGGAGGTCCACTCCAGACCCTGTTCAGCTGGGTATCACCAGTGGAGGCTGCAGAACAGCAAAGATTGCTGCCTTTTCCTTCCTCTGGAAGCTTCATCCCCGAGAGGAACCAGCCTGATGCCAGCTGGAGCTCTCCTGTATGAGGTGTTTGTCGACCCCTGTAGGAAAGTCTCTCTCAGTCAGGAGGCACGGGGGTCAGGGACCCACTTGAGGAGGCAGTCTGTCCCTTAGCAGAGCTGGTGTGCTGTGCTGGGAGAATCCCTCTTATCAGGATCAGGTTCTCCCTTCAGAGCCAGCAGGCAGGAGTGACTACATCTGCTGAAGCTGTGCCCATAGTCGCTCCTTTCCCCAGGTGCTCTGTCCAAGGGAGATGGGGGTTTTGTCTGTAAGCCCCTGACTTGGGCTGTTACCTTTCCTTCAGAGATGCCCTGCCCAGTGAGGAGGTATCTAGAGAAGCAGTCTGGCCACAGCAGCTTTACTGGGCTGTGGTGAATTCCACCCAGTCCGGACCTCCCAGCCTCCTTAGCACTGTCAGGGGAAAACCACCTACTGAATTTACACTTTCCTAGTGACTACTGAAGTGGAAACTTTTTCATACACGTATTGGCTTTGGATGCCCTCTTTTGTTAAGTATTTGCTCAAGTTTGTGGCCTATTTTTCCATAAGGTCTTTTTCTTATTGATTTGTGAAGGTTCTTCACATATTCTGGATGAGTCTTCTGTCATCATACACATTGCAAATATCTTCTCCCAGTTAGTGGCTTGCCTTTTCATCCCTTTTATTGTGTCTTTTGATGAACAGAAGTTCTTACTTTTAATGTAGTCTATTTATCATGTTTTTTCTTTTTTATCCTAAATGTTGTCTGGTTCATGTTCCTTTGTCTACTCAAGGTTATGAAGATATTTTTCTGTGTTAGCTTCTAGAACTCTTACTTTCTAACTTTAAAATTTAGATCTACAATTCTTCTGGGATTGCATTTTTGCATTTAATATGAAGTAGGGGTGGAATTTTATTTCTTCCATATGAATATATAAATGACCCAGTAGAATTTATTAAAGAGAGTTCATTTTACCTGCAATGTCACCTTTCCTATGAATCAAGTTTTGTGTATGTATGGGTCTATTTATGGACTCTCTACTCTGTTTCATTGGTTTATTTCTCTCCTCTTGTATCGACATCACACTGTCTTAATTACTGTAGCTTACAAGAAATTTTAATATCTGGTAGAATGAGTGTTTATTCTTTGTTCTTCTTCATGAGTATCTTGGTTATTTTTGGCCCTTTGCAATTACACATAAATTTTAGAATCAGCTTGTCAGTTTTTGTAAAAATGCCAGCTGGGAAGTTAATTAAGATTGCACTGAATTTATAGATCACATTGGAGAGAATTGACATCTTAACAATATTGAGTCTTCTGACCTATGAACATGGAATATTTATTTATTTAGATCTTTAATTTCTCCAAGTGATGTCTTAACATTTTCAATGTACAGGTCTTGCACACAGTTGACCCTTGAAAAACAGGGGTTTGAATTTTGAGGATCCACTTATATGTATATATTTTTTCAACCAAAAGCAGATAAAAAATGCAGTATTTGCAGGATGTGAGACCTGCCTATACTGAGGGCCAACTTTTCACATATGCATGTTCCACAGGGCCAACTTGCAGGACTTGAGTATGCCTGGATTTGTGTATATGCAGGGGTTCCTGGAACTCATTCCCCATATTTATTGAGACAACTGTGTTTCTTTAGATGTATTCCTAGGTATTTGGGTTCTGTGATGTCACATAAATGGTATTATTTTCTTTTTCTTCTAATTAAACAAAATTTTATGTAAAATTGTTTCTTATGATTAAAAATTAAATTGATTTTTGTAAACTGATTTTGTATCCAGCAACATTGTTAAATTTACTTTAATTCTAAAAGTTTGTAGATTGTTTAGGTTTTTTTCCCTCATACATAACTATGCTTACACATTTCTTCCTTTCAAATCTTTTATTTTTGCAATGACTAGGATCTCAAATACATCAATAAATAGAAGTGGACATAGCAAGAATCTTTGTTTCTTTCTTGATCTCAATGGAAATGCTTTCAATATTTTCCCATTAAATATGATATTTGTTATTTTTTTAGAATATCTTTATCAAATTAAGGAAGTTCCCTTCTCTTCCTAGTTTCTTAAGGTTTCTCTTATTTTAGTCATAAACTTTTTTGCTTGCCTTTTCATTCCTTTTATTGTGTCTTTTGATGAACAGAACTTCATCAAATGCTTTCTTTGCATCTATTGAGATGACTGTATGAAATTTCTACTTAACCTGTTAAAGTGATAAATTATAATTAACTCATTTTCTAATGACTAACCAACTTTACATTCCTGGAATAAAGTCATATTGGTTGTGTTGAATTATCTTTTTAAGTGTATTACTGAATTTGGTTAGCTATTAAATTGTAAAGGACTTCTGTATCTACATTCATAGCAGAGATTGGCCAATAATTTTCTTTTTTTGTAATGTCCTTATCCGATTTTGGTATCAGGGTTTTCTGGCTTCATCAGAAGAGTTAGGAAGTGTTTTATCTTTATTCTCTGGACAAGTTTGTGTAACATTGGTAAAGTCGGATTTTCAAATGAGGGAATTAACATACTTAATACATTTTAATAGTTTTCTATGGCTGCTGAAACAAATTTCAACAAACTCAATGGCTTAAAGCAATGCAAATTCATTAAGTTTTACAGGTTAGAAGTTCAACACAGGTCTCCCTGGCCTAAAACCAAGGTACTACCAGGACGGCAGTCCTTTCCAAAGGCTCTGGGGGAGGATCCTTTTGCTTAAGGTCTTCCCACTTTCAATTTACAAAATTTTAAATTTACAAAAATATTTTTCTAAAATTCATTCTATTATTTTATATTTTACATTTAGATTTTTACTTCATCTAGAATTTTTTGAGCATGGTATGATGCAGGGGTCTGGTCTGCCTTCCTTCACATGCCAATTCTGTCAGCATGATTTACTAAATACATCATCCTTTCCCACTTTGTCAGATACTAAGACTCATATTTACTTGAATCAACTTTGGATTCTGTTTCATTGATTTATTGGCCTATATTGTGGCCAAGTCTATATTTTTGGCATTGTTATTTATTTATGTTAAATTAATAAATTTTATATTTTAGAGTAGTTTTAGGTCCACAGCAAAATTGGGCAAAAAGTAGAGAGTTTTCATACACTCCTATCCCCCTCTGTGCCATATTTTTATTGCATTAAATTTAGAGCTAATTGTAATATATAATAAGTTATCATCCTTGTATCTTTCCATAAAAATGTACTCCTCTCAGATATTCTTTCAGTGATCTTTAAGATTATTATATCCAGTGTGAAGAATCCCAAACTGGGATTCTGGTTGGAATTTAATTAAATATATAAATTAATTTAATTAAAAATATAATTATTTAATATAAAAATATATACACATTTTTATAATATATCATTCTATCTTAGAAAGTTGTCATTCCATTTAGATATCTTCTTCTCATATTTTAGTAAGATTTTATAGTTTTACTTATTTAGGTCTTTTGCCTTTCTTGTGAATTTTATTTCTAGGTATTTTATAGTTTTCATTTTTATTAAAAATGGGATTTCCTCCCTGTGACATTTAAGTTTGTTTACTAAAAGTAAACCTATTAATTTTTGTATCTTTATTTTGTATTCAGTTTCCCTATTCAATTCTTTTAATAACAATCTTTAACATTTATGGAGAACTTACAATGGATCTGGCACTGTTTTAAGTGTTTTATGTGTATTAGCTCATTTAATCCTGATAACATCTCTATAAGGCAGATACTATTATATCAGTTCCATGGATGAGGAAACTGAGGTCTAAAGTAGAATTTCTTAATTTTTCTAAGAAAACAATCATCTAATCTGAAAATTAAAAATTTGCTATATGTGAATATTTATACTGATTGTTTCATTGTATTTTTTTGTTGGATTGTCCAATACTTACAATATCGAATAACAGAAGAAATAGTAGACATATTTGACTTGTTTCTGATTTTAATGAAACTGTAATATCTTTCTAAATTAACCTTTATCTTTATCTTGAGACTGACCATAAGGACTCCCCAGTAGCCACTCTCTAGGAGAGCCTACACCAGGAGAAGAGTTAGGCTCAGGTGCGTGTGCCAGGTGATGTGCAGAAGAGGCTGCATAACAAAACACAGGAAATCACAGACACCTTCTGTTACTCACAGATCCATAGGAGAAGAAGGGTGCCCATGACAGCCAGCAGCAAGTCTGGAAACGGCAGCATGCCCAGCCAGCAGGTAGAGGGTGACAGAGAGAGAGAATCTGTGGCACTAAAGCCCTTATTGGGGTCAGGGCGTTATCCAAGCAGGTTTCCTGAGAGTTCTAGTTGGTGGGTTTAGAACAAACAGGCACACGTTACATGGGCTCACTGTGTAACTGAGAGGTGGTCAGTGCTGCATATCTGCACAGTCCATTCAGGGTGAGTCAGTGGGGCCAGGTAAGTAGGCTGTATCTAGCTGTCCCTCAGGGTAGTGGCCACCAGTAGGCAGTTGTTTAAGGTAGATAAATGGATTGACCACCTTGAGGAACCGGGAGAAGGAGTAGAACTGGAAACTGTGTGAAGGGAGACTGAGCCCTGCTCCTCAGATAAGATAGTACAGCTCATATTCAAAATGGACTTGGAGCAACATAAAAGTATAAGAATTCACTACAACAGTTGTAGAGAGAAATTACAGATGAACCCAAATGTGCATTGATAGTTTGATAAAGAGTCTATTTGCAAATAATAATAATAACATTAACAGTAACTAGGAAACAAAAGAAAAAACAAAAGGATTTATACATAAAAATTTGTGCAAGTATATTTAGCCTCAAAGAAGTTCTTGCTCAACCCCACAACTCTTTTAGTTCTTCTTCCTTCTGTAAGTAATAAAGTGCCCAACCAACAGCAGCTTAAATCATAATAAGTCCAGAGGAACATGATCTCAGGATATTTGAGCTCAGTATTGTCATCAAGGATGCAGGATCTTTCTGTACTTTCTGCTCAACCCTCCTTAGCTTGTTGACTTCCCCTCATGCTTGTAACGGCAAGATCATGAGATGGCAACCAGAGTTCCAGATATCATCTCCAAGTTCAAGGCAAAAACAAATGGGAAGGAAGTTCTATACCCTTTTATCAAGAAATAAACCCTATTTGTAATAAGCCCCCTCAGCAGACTTTAAAAAAAATGCATTGGCTACATCAGGGTCACAAAGACCCTTCTACCTGCAGAAGAGGCTGGAAAAAATGATCACAGGCTCATAATTTCTTATTGGCAATTCTGAAACCAAAAAAGTCTGAAAACTTAAAAGTCCTTTATAAGTTTGGTGCCAAAATGCATTTGGTGGCTGATATGGTTTGGCTCTGTGTCCCCACCCAAATCTCATCTTGTAGCTCCTATAATTCCCACGTGTTGTGGGAGGGACCCAGTGGGAGATGATCGAATCATGGAGGCGGGTGTTTCCGATGCTGTTCTCATGATAGTGAGTGAATCTCATGAGATCTGATGGTTTTAAAAATGGGAGTTTCCCTACACAAGCTTTCTTTTTGCAGGCTGCCATCCATGTAAGATGTAACTTGCTCTTCCTTGCCTTCCCAGCCATATGAAACTGTAAGTACAGTAAACCTCTTTCTTTTGTAAATTGCCCGGTCTCGGGTATGTCTTTATTAGCAGCGTGAAAATGGACTAATACATTGGCAAATTTGACCCAAACAGAGATGACACTATTTATAGTCCTTATTCATCATAATTAATGTGACGATCTCTCTGTTTTAATACAGAATTATTAATATGTTTGAAACAGGATGCTGTCTAACACTTACTGTGGTGTTAAATGACATACAGTACAGGGTCAGGCATGGTGGCTCATGCCTGCAACCCTAGCCCTTTGGGAGGCCAAGTCAGGAGGATCGCTTAATGACAGGAGTTTGAAACAAACCTGGGCAACATGGTGAGATGAGACCCCATCACTATAAAAAACAAAAAATTAGCCAGATGTGGTGACACATGCCTGTAGTCTCAGCTACTCAGGAAGTTGAGGAAGATCCCTTGAGCCCAGGAGTTCGAGACTGCAGTGAACTATAATTGCACCACTGCACTCCAGCCTGGGCAACAAAGTGGGTCCCCAACCAAAAAAAAACACAAAAAAACGAAACAAAACAAAACAAAAAACCCATACACTACATAGGCACTGTATCACTTTATTACCCTTCTAAGTGTCCAAAAGTTTATTCTGAAACATATCTGACCCCAGGGGTTTCAGATAAGGGATTATAGGCCTGTATCTGGCAAAGGGCAATGGGATTGTCATTTTTAGTTTATGTCCATCAGATCTATCTACTGAGGCAGGGCAGATTCATGTCCTGAACAAAAGCAGGGCTTTGTTAGCAAAGAAAAGAGTGGGGTGCAAATGGTTATCAGGAAGGCAACAGACCCATGTGATTGGTTTCTGGAGTAAATACTATAATGTAACAACTTTAGCAGTTTTTTGGCCACCCCTCCCAATTATTCAAAAGACCTCTTCCAAAGAGGGTAGAGAGGACTCAGAGACCTAAGGACTGGTTTTTGGAGCAGATTATTGTATTTGGTATGTAGCTTCATTGCCATCTCCCTCTCTGCTTTGTCAAAACCAACTTTCTCGAAGGAGCTGTCCTTCATGAATCCATGGCTCGATTTCCCCTGAACCCTTAACTGGAAGTTTGGCACCTGCTTCAACCAATTGACTAAGTTCATCAAAGGGACTAAGCTACTTTAAACTACATGGTTATAGCTACTTTTTATTCCTCATCTGACTTGGTCATGACGTTATTCACGGAAAGGACTCTCTCTTTGCCTTCAATAACCCATGCTCTTAGCTCTACTTTTCTTCTCTATCCAACTCTTTTAGACATCTTTGTGGGCTCCCCTCTTTCGGTCTATATTTTTTATAGCTATTTTCTTTTTTTTCTTTTTTTTTCTTTTTTTTTTTTTTTGAGACGTAGTCTCGCTCTGTTGCCCAGGCTGGAGTGCAGTGGCGTGATCTTGGCTCACTGTAAGCTCTGCCTCCCGGGTTCACGCCATTCTCTTGCCTCAGCCTCCCGAGTAGCTGGGACTACAGGCACCCGCCACCACACCTGGCTAATTTTTTGTATTTTTAGTAGAGACAGGGTTTCACTGTGTTAGCCAGGATGGTCTCGATCTCCTGACCTCGTGATCTGCCCGTCTCGGCCTCCCAAAGTGCTGGGATTACAGGCGTGAGCTGCCGCACCCGGCCTTTATACCTATTTTCTCTAGAGTTCTGCCCTTGGCCTTCTTTTCTCCTCACTTTACACACTCCCTGGGTGTTCTGGCCTGTTCCCGTGGCTCAAAAACCACCTAGATGCTGAAAGGTCTCAAATCTGTGTCTCCAGTCAGCCTTCCCTCCTGAGCTTCCCATGCATATCTCCAGCTGCCTCTGAGATTTCTCCTTCAAATATCATGCCAGCTCCCCAGGTTCATCAGTGCTCCATGCCCTCCAAACATGTTTCCTCTCATATTTCCCAAGTCAGTGCTGCCATCTTTCTAGTTCCTCAAGCCAGACACCTGGATGTCATGCCGGACTCCTCCTTCTCCCTCATCCTTTATCCAATCAGTAAACAAGGCCTATCTGTTCTACCATGGAAATAATTTCTCTGGAGTGGCTCACAGTCTTCCAACAAAATCTTTCTAAACATGTGTCATAATTATATAAAAAGTAAAAGGATGTGTTGCTGGATGTTAGATGAGGATGCCTATATGTTTTTAAGAAGGTCACTAAATGTCAAGTTTAACCTATGACTAGAAAAGAATACGTATGTCAGAATCTAGGGAAAGAAGGCAAAGAGGATGCTGTAACACTGCAAGCAGGGCATTCTTCTTATTCCATGACAATCATTGTCTATCCACTGTTGGCAAAAACAGGCTACAGGGGCAGCCCTTTCTACCTTTCTGAAGTATCCCATAGACATTTCATTTAGGGAGGCACACTTGGGTTAGAAGAACACAGCAGGAAGAGGGGCTTCAAAGGCATAAAATTCAGGGCTCCTCTTCAAGAGAAATGCTCTCTTCCACAGAAGATGAGCAAAGATCTTCCATCCCTTTGAATGTCCTCATGGTCATGGTGCACTGAGAGGGTGGGGAGAGGGTAGGATAGCCAAACTGAGACAGAAACCTGGATAAATAGGAAACGTAATCACCAAGAATAGAATGACAAATCTCTCCATTGGTCTAAAATGGAGGTAAACTGCTTCCTGATCTTGTATGATTTGACTTAGAAAATATATAACAATTATTTGACATTTACGTAGCATTTTACAATTTTAAATTATGTTCATAGATATCATCTCCTTAGAAACTAATAATAATCCTCAAAGGTAGACATTCTTTCATTTGACAGATAAGGAAACAAAGGCTCATAAACTATTAAGCAATTTACTTAAGAGTACATGGTTAGTGGAGTGTTGGGATCAGAACCCCTGGCTCTGACTTCCAGCTCAGGATTGTTTCTTCCATTGTACACTCCTTTCTGCAGAGGAGTCTTGCAGTCTTTGGTAGTCTTTATTTGCTCAAAAAAAAAAAAAAAAAAAAGCATTCCCATTGGTAAGAGGTTTCAATGCAGAACTGCAAGAGAATAAAATATTGTCATAGTGCCATGTTAAGTGCCTGGGATGCATAAAACTCCACAGAAGTTTCTGCAGCTGCAAGGATGCCATTGAGGTCTTCTCCCATCACTGCCCTTGGACACTAGTAATGGTCTCTGAGGTTCAGAGGCTAGGTCCAGATCAGAAAGAATATGTTTGTGTCATGAAAAAGAACACAAAGGAAACACTCAGAAAAAGGCTGGGGCTCTAGAGGGATTCCCCAGAGGAGAAGATGAAAGAAATGAACTAGACAAAAACAAAAGAAAGTGAGGTTAAGGACAGGGATATGTTGTTCAGTAGTGATGACACATCATGGTGATGAGAGAGGGAGATGAAAGGTAAGTGCATCTCCAACACCAGACTTAGAGAGGTGGTAAAGCTGCTACAAAATCCCCTTCATAAGTGAGGTGGGGTGGGGGATGATTTATTCATTCATTCATTGATTACAGAATTTTCTTTTTGAAAGCCAATTATGCAGGCAACCTCAGAGACATTACAGGTTTAATTCAAGATCACAACAATGATCAGAACAAAGAGAGTTGCACAAATTTTTTTTGTTTCCCAGTGCATGTAAAAGGTATGTGTGCACTGTACTGTAGTCTATTAAGTGCAAAATACCATTATGTCTTTTTAAAAGTACATATCTTAATTAAAAATACTTCATTGCTAAAAAATGTTAACAATCACCTGAGCCTTCAGCAAGTTGTAATCTTTTTCACTGGTGGAGGGTCTTGACTCAATGTTTATGGCTGCTGACTGATCACAGGGGTGGCTGCTGAAGGCTGGGGTAGTAGAGGCAATTTCAGAAAATAAGACAACAATAAAGTTTGCCACATCAATTGACTCGCCTCATGAAAGATTTCTCTGTAGTATACAATGCTGTTTGATAGCATTTGCTTTGCAAAACAAAAATGTATTGAATTTATATTATATGTATTATATATGTATATATTATATATGTGTATTATATATAATATATGTGGATATATTATATATATGTGTGTATACATATATATGTATATATATGCATGAGGTTTGGACATGTGTGTGTGTGTGTGTGTGTGTGTGTGTGTGTGTGTATATGTATATACCTAGAGAAGAGAGAAAGTGAGATATTTTAATGACAGGAAAACTTTTTTCAAAATTGAATTCAATCCTCTCAAACTGTGTCACTGCTTTACCAACTAAGTTAATGTACTATTCTAAATCCTTTGTTGTCATCTCAACAGTGTTGATAGCATCTATACCAGGAGTTGATTCCATCTCAAGAACCACTTTCTTTGCTCCTCCATAAAAAGCAACTTCTCATCCATTCAAGTTTGATCATGAGGTTACAACAATTCAGTCACATCTTCAGGCTTCATTTCGAATTCTAGTTCTCTTGCTATTTCCACCATATGTGCAGTTACTTTCTCCACTGAAGTCTTGAACTCCTCAAAATCATCCATGAGGGTTAGACTCAACTTCTTCCAAACTCCTGTTAATATTGATATTTTGACCTCTTCCCATAAATCATGAATGTTCTTAATGGCATCTAGAATGGTGAATCCTTTCCAGAAGGCTTTCAACTGATGTTGCCCAGATCTGTCAGAGGAATCACTATCTGTGGCAACTATAGCTTTATGAAATTTATTTCTCAAAGAATAAAACTTGAAATTTGAAATTACTCCTTGATTTATGGGCCGAAAATGGAAGTTGCACTCACAAGCATGAAAACAGCATTAATCTCCCTGTACATCTCCATCGGAGCTCTTGGATGATAAGGTGCATTGTCAATGAGTAGTAATATTTTGAAAGAAATCTTTTTTCCTGAGCAGTAGGTCTCAATAGTGGGCTTAAAATCTTCAGTAAACTGGCCAGGTGTGGTGGCTCACACCTGTAATCCCAGCACTTTGGGATGCCGAGGCAGGCAGATCACCTGAGGTTGGGAGTTCAAGACCAGCATGATCAACATGGAGAAACCCCGTCTGTACTAAAAATACAAAATTAGCCAGGCATGATGGCACAAGCCTGTAATCCCAGATACTCCGGAGGCTGAGGCAGGAGAATCGCTTGAACCCAGGAAGGTGGAGCTGCGGTGAGCCCAGATCATACTACTGCACTCCAGCCTGGGCAACAAGAGCGAAACTCCATCTAAAAAAAAAAAAAACTTCAGTAAACTACAATATAAACAGATGTGCTGTCATCCAGGCTTTCACTGGCAGAGCAGATTTAGCATGATTCTTAAGGGCACTAAGATTTTTTGAATGGTAAATGAGCATTGGCTTCAACTTAAGTCACCAGCTGCATTAGCCCCTAACAAGACAGTCAGCCTATCTTTTGAAGCTTTGAAGCCAGGCATTGACTTCTCCTCTCTAGCTGTGAAAGTCCTAGGTGGTAAGGCTATTTCATCTACATTGAAAATCTGTTGTTTAGTGTAGCTACCTTCATCAATAATTTTAGCTAGATCTTCTGGGTAACTTGCTGCAGCTTCTCCATCAGCACTTGCTGCTTCACCTTATACATTTTGTTAGGAAGATGGTTTCTTCCCTTAAGCCTCATGAACCAACCTCTGTTAGCTTTCAACTTTTCTCTGCAGCTCCCTCATCTCTCTCAGGCTTCCCAGAATTAAAGAGAATTAGGGCTTTGCTCTGTAACAGGCTTTGGCTTAAATAAATTTTGTGGTTGGTTTGATCTTCTATCTGGACCACTAAAACCTTTCCATATCAGCCATAATGATGTTTTATTGTGTTCACTGGAGTAGCAATTTTAATTTCCTTTAAGAACTTTTCCTTTGCATTTGCAACTTGCTAACTCTTTGAAACAAGAGGCCTAGAATCTCAGGTTTTAACATGCCTTCCTCACTTGGCTTAATCATTTCTAGCTTTTAACTTAAAGTGAGAGATGTGCAGCTCATCATTTCACTTGAACACTTAGGCCATTGTAGAGTTACTATATGGCCTAATTTCAATATTGTTGTGTGTCAGGAAATAGGGATGCCCAAAGAGAGGGACAGAGATGGGAAAATGGCTGCTCAGTGGAGCAGTCAGAACACATACAAAAATTTATCAATTGGGTTTGCCATCTTACATATATGCAATTTGTGGCACCCCAAAATAATTACAATAGTAACATCAAAGATCACTGATCACAAATCACTATAACAGATAAAATAATAATGAAAAAGTTTGGAATATTGCAAGCATTACCAAAATGTGACACAAAGACACAAACATGAGCACAGGCTGCTGAAAAAATGATGCAACGGCCATGCACAGTGGCTCATGCCTATAATCCCAGCATTTTGGGAGGCTGAGGCAGGAGGATTGCTTGAGCCCTGGAGCTTGAGACTAGCTTAGGCAACACAGTGAGAACTTGTCTCTACAAAAAATAAAAATAAAAAAGTTAGCCAGGTGTGGTGGTGCACAACTGTAGTCTCAGCTGCTCAGGAGGCTGAGGTGGGAGGATCACTTAAGCCCAGGAGGTTGAGGCTGCAGTGAGCTATGATAGTGTCACTGTGCTCCAGAACTGGGTGACCGAGTGAGACCCTGTGTCAAAAAAAAAATGATGCCAATAGACTTGCTTAATGCATGGTTGCCAGAAAGCTTTAATTTGTAAAAAACATAAACCTACAAAACGTGATAAAATGAAGTGTGATAAAACAAAGTATGTCTGTATATGGCAGTGTTCTAGTTGCCCAGATACATAAGTAAATAAGAGAAAATTCCCACTGCATCATGCTTCTAGTATAATGGAGGAGAGGGATAATAAACAAGTAAAGTAGGGTATATTTTTATAAAACTTCAGATAAAAATCAGTGATATGAAGAAAACTCAAGCTGGGTATTAGAGAGTGACTGCGGTGGGATATGTTTTGGTGGCAATTTAGATTGAATTTTAGGGAAGCTACTATGTACTATGTGGCCCCCAAATTCATATGTTGAAGCCTTAATCTGCAATGTGATGGTATTTGGAGGTATGGCCTTTAGGGGGTGATGAGGTTTAAAGGAAAACATGCAGGCAGAGCCTCCATGATGGCATTAGTGCCCTTGTAAGGGGATGAAGAGGCTGAGCAATTTCTCTCTCTTCTCCCCATTTGAGGATACAGCAAGAAGGCATTCCACAGAAAACCAGGAAGACGGCCCTCACCAGAACCTGAATAGGCCAGCACCTTGATCTTAGACTTCCCAACCTTCAGAATTGTGAGGAAGAAGTATCTGTTGTTAAGCCACCCAGCCTATGGTAGTTTTGTTATAGCAGCCCAAAGTGACTAAGGCAGAAGGTCTCTATAAGGAGGTAACATTTGAGCCATCACTTACATGAAATGAAGGAATGAACCATGTGCAGATTTTGGGGCCAGATGAGCAGCCAGTGTTTTTGAGGAGCAAGAAGAAGCTGTCTTTAACAGAACCTAGCAAATGATAGAGAGAGTGGTGAGAGATGATGAGGGAAGACCTGCACCTCTGGCTGCTGGTAAAGCTGGATAGCCTATAATCCCAGAGGTTTTTAGCTTGATTTCATCTTCTCTAAATACTTTCTACCTAAGATATGACATCATTCTTGATTTAAGTAGTCTTCTTTTTAATGGAAGGCTGCTACCCTTCATGGGGCCTTGGTTACCTACCTGCAAGGTACTCAGCCTGTTGCATGTTTGCTCACAGTTTAGAAGTCAAAAGAGCTAAAAATAGCAAAGTCCCCAATGGAGCACAGTGATTAATCTGTTAAGTTCCCTGGAGGGCCAGGAGCAGCAGCAGGCCAAACAAGCCAGGCCTCAAGCACCCTGGGCAGTCTTTCCCCTAGGAAATCATCACGGAACTTCTGGTGTTGATCTGTTTATTAATCTCCCCTTCACCAGTGAGAAATGCACTACTTGATGAAAATAAAACAACTTTTGAAAGATATGCTCCTTCCCAAGATGGTGCATAGACCAGCTGTTGTGACAGCATCTTCCATGACACTAATTAAAAAAAGAAAAAAAAAGCTTATGATTTTACCTGATTATGAAAGCAGCGCATATTTATTGTTGGGAAATTAGACATGCAGAAAAGCATAAAGAAAAATCATCCAAATACCACCACCTGGAGATAACTATTATTAAGTTTTCTAATTTTATATAATTACACACATATATGTGGATATATCTGAGGTCACTTGGTAGCTACAATTTGGTATTCTAATTTTAAATTTTGCGTTATATAGTAATCACTTTCCCATTGACACTGCGTTTTAATTTCACAGACTGGCCTCTAGGCTCTAGAGGCACCAAAGAAAATAGTGCAGGGAGAGGCTGGGATTGGCAAAAGCCAAAATTATGCTCCATGTGGTCGTTTTCTGGGGTAAATGTCATGTTACAACCTTGGCAGGCTCCTGGCTCCCCTCCCCAATTCATAAGACCTCATCCAAAGTAGATAGGGGAGACTCAGACTTGGGGACTGGTTTTTAGAGCAAATTATTATACTTGGTGTGTAGCTGTCAGTCAGACTTGTTTCAGTGCATAACACATGCTGAGGAACACACACACACACACACACACACACACACACACGGCATTCAAAGCATTTAAAACTGCCCATCATGGCATACACATCCTGACTTTTACCCTAATAAGCTGGCCCTTCTAATCAGGGGACTTGGCTGATTCTTAGTCTTAAAAGATAAGGGGAGCTGTCTTCAACTAAAATACTAGCAGAGATTTACTGTTCTCTGCTTGACTTATAACCACAACTTCAGTTCCCTCCGTATTTTTGGCCCAGCTGAGACTCTTATTGGTCTTTGGAATGAGTCAGCCTATAGAAGATTTTAGTCTTCACATTTTTACCTTTTTTGGTGTCTTTGTTATCTTTTTCATTCTGTGGCCAAGGATAATGCAGGAACCACAAAGAGACATAATCCACTTCTTGACCAGCCCTAATCACAGCATATAGGTAGGCAACTTCTTTATTGCCCTTTCTTGCTTATCAGAGCTCAGAAGATGGTATGAGATACGACATCACATGAGTAGCAGAGACTGTTAGCTGCCTAACAGCCATTTCCCCTTTCTTTTCCCTTGACTGCAGTAAGAGTGAAGATCAAAAAAGGCACACAAAAGGTAGGAATTAAAGGGCTCAATAAATACAAATTGTAATTGGTCTAAGCCAATCATGGGACCCTGAAGCCTCTTTGCCAGATACTCACATTTTGGCCTGCCTTACAGTTAGAGATGGCCATGTGATTCAGTTCCCACCATGGGAACAGGAGAAAATCTGGGAAATTCTTTCCTGATGAACAGAAGAGGTATTTTTCCTTTGCCCTCTTTTTCTCATCTTTGAATGTAATTAGCATGAAGCCCTGATGCTTAGAGCTGTGGCAGCCTGCTCATGACAGTGAGATGATGAGTATGAGGATGAGAAGCCAGTCTGCTAATGATGCTGGTGTTGAAGGATGGAAAGTGTCTGGACTCCCGATCACATTTGTGAGTTGCTGATCAGCTCTGGAACTGCCTACTTCAGGAATCCTTCTTAAGGAAAAAAAAAAAGAGAGAGAGAGAGAGAATTTCTTACAGCTTAAGAAACTCTTTTTTGGAGGTAAACCTGTCTTAATGGACACAGGCCATTGGTGGTCAATAAAGGAAAAGCCCAACTTTTCTGAAGGGCAGCCTCAATATTATAGTACCTGCAAACTACAAATACAAACAAATTCAATTTCGAGAGTTGATCAGTTGGGCTAACAAGATGGATTTGTGCTTCTACTGGTGGAAACTGACCTCTCTAGAAAATGGACAGATTTACATTAGAGAGTGGGCAAAGCAGAACCAACCAGAATCTATATTCCACAATGCCTTGAGTATAGGTGACATGACAGACTTTTTTTTTTTTTTTTTGAGACAGAGTCTTGCTGTGTCGCCCAGGCTGAAGTGCAGTGGCATGATCTTGGCTCACTGCAACCTCCACCTCCTGGGTTCAAGCAATTCTCCTGCCTCAGCCTCCCCAGTAGCTGGGACTACAGGCGCATGCTGCCACACCAGGCTAATTTTTTGTATTTTAGTAGAGATGGGGGTTTCACTATGTTGGCGAGGCTGGTCTTGAACTCCTGACCTCGTGATCCGCCCGCCTTGGCCTCCCAAAGTGCTGGCATTACAGGCGTGAGCCACCGCACCTGGGGCTGACAGACTTTTAAATGTGTTGTTTGTTGTTAAGTCTAAAACAGGTTGAAATTAGTACTTATGTTTTTGATAATAACTAACAGAAAAGAGTTAGATTAATGAATAGAGAGACCTCCCAAAGAGCTTTGAACAGGCGCTGAGGAAGAGCGTGGAGTTGTATCCATCTCAAAGCAGATGGTACAAATTGGAAATGCCTCTTGATTTCAGTTACCTGATAACCAAACATTTTGATTTCCATAAATGTTTTGTTGGTGAGTAGTTATTCATTTTGTAAATTCATTCATTGACAGTTTTAAATGGTCCTCTTCTCACAGCATCTAAAATATTATTGGATGCATACAAAAATTGAATCATGAAATCTCTTCAGGAATATGGTGTTAAGGAAAGTGTCTGATCTTTGAAGTGAGGCCAGTAAGAATTCAAATTTTAGTTCTGCTACTAACTATATGTCACCTTGGGCATATTACTTTGCTTTTTCACCCTCATTTCTTAAATGAAAATAATACTAATCACAAAAAGGCCATTGGGTGATTTGAGTAAAAAATGTAAAGTACAGGATATGTAGTAGATATTGGTAAGTAGTAGCTTCTGTGTCAATTAGGGTCTAATGGAAATAGATGAAATATTCTAATTAGGATATTTTAAGATTTTTTTCTCCATTTGACCTAGCAATCCCATTACTGGGTATATACTCAAAGGAATATAAGTCATTCTATTATAAAGATACATGCATGTGTATGTTCACTGCAGCACTATTCACAATAGCAAAGACATGGAATCAACCCAAATGCCCATCAGTGATAGACTGGATAAAGAGAATGTGGTACATATACACCATGGAACACTATGCAGCCTTAAAAAGGAACGAGATCATGTCCTTTGCAGGGACAGAGATGAAGTTGGAAGCCATTATTCTCAGCAAACTAATGCAGGAACAGAGAACTAAACACTACATGTTCTCACTTATAGGTGGGAGCTGAACAATGAGAACACAAGGACACAGGGAGGGGAACAACAAACACTGGGGCCTGTTGGGGGAGGGCAGTTTAGGGGAGAGCATCAGGAAAAATAGCTAATGCATGCCAGGCTTAATATCTAGGCAATGAGTTGATAGGTGCAGCAAACCACCACAGCGTATGTTTACCTATGTAACAAACCTGCACATCCTGCAAATCTACCCCAGAACTTAAAATAAAATTAAAAACAAAAAACAAACAAATTTTTTTCCTACAAATAAACTATTTTCAAAAGTGAGAAGAACTTAGGAGAATAACATCTAGGAAAAATTTCCAGGGTAAATAAATGTAATTCACAAGGATGTTTATCACATCGTTGTTCTCTTAGTGAGTGAATCAGGAAACAATTCAAATGTCCAGGTACAGGGAATTGATCACATTCATACCGCTGAATAACAAAAAACCACCAAAAAAACACTGCAGAAGTAAATGCACTGATATTAAAATATATTAGTACTGTAGTGAAAAGAGCAGATTTTAAGATATCATTGAGAGTAGAATCTATTTTGTTAAAACTGCATGTATTTATATTTACAATCTATATTAATATATAGGTGTGATTATTTAAAGCCAGACCTTTAAGATTCTTGTTGAATCTTTAAAAAATTGTCAGCTTTTTTTTTTTCACTCCTAAAGGAGGTAGAGAGTGTATTTTATCTTCTGGAGGCAGGGGTGAGGGAATGGAGTGGAGGGAGCAGGTGGAACACCCTTAACCTCATTCAAATGATTTAGATGGAATGCTCAATATTCTGTTTGGTACTGGGTCTTCTCAAGTGTGTTTGAATCAGAGCTGCCTCTGAGACTCCGTAACTTCTTTGGGGTGGAGTTCAAGATGAGGATGGAAAGAATGTTGTTTGCCTGTGTGAATTTAGAGATGTGGATTTAGAGACTGCCTTGCCTCATGTTGCTAGTTGTGGTGAAGCTATTGATGTTCCTTTTTGATGAATTATATGCAGGTTAACTAAATCTGGGAAACTAAAAACTGCAGAAGGGACATGAAGCAGGATCTTCCCTGATGAATAGAAACTATAAAAAGTAATTGCACTGCCCATGGTTCAGCTCAACATGGGCTGGATGATTGATGTCCATGTGTGGAATGACTTAGGACAGAACACCCCCAAAGGCACAGTTGCTGGACTATTATGATCTGATCTAATTGTCTGGCTGAGGTGATACCTTTGAGGGTGGAGGGACGGAGTTTCCTTTACAGCAAGGGATCCAAAGTGAAATGACTACACTATGACAGGTAGGAATTATAATAGGAAACATATATAAATGGCAAGGAATGTTCCAAGGGTTTTACTTGAATTATTACAATAGATCCTTTAAAAACCCCAAGAAGAAGATATTATTTGTAGTTTAGTTGTAAAAATGAAGA